>NC_000007.14:145973531-146125046 GCF_000001405.40 Homo sapiens | reverse complement strand
GGACATTAACCAAGTGACTTAAATCATAAGTATACTTTATTAGCTGAAAAACTGCTGGTGGTGGCAATATATATAACTTGAGTAAAAAAGTAAAGTTTTATATTGAATACCAAATCTCATGGGATTATACGTGGCTGTCTGGCATATTGTGTGGAGAAAGATTCTATGGCCACATTCAAATCCACTGAGTAAAATACCATGAGAATTAGTAACATTAGTATTGATGGCAGCATCGAACTCATTGTGTTATTGTTGCTATGAATACATAGAAAAAAACACCCGAATCATGTTTTCTTCAGTTGGTTGGCATTAAAAACACTAAGCTAGTATAATAGTTTCATAATCTGAAAACCTGATAGTCATATTTTATAGTCCAGACATATTTTTATTTGAACCAAAAAATGTTTCAAATATGCTACGTAACAATTTACATTTTAAGTTAGAATTTATTAGCAATTAAGTAATTTAATGCATCATAGGCCATTATTTAACACGTACTTAATAAATTTTTAAAAATAAGACCCATAAAATATGCTATAATTTCACTATGTGACATAATTAGGCTGAAATTTTTTCATGTAGTTCTGTTTATAAATTTTTGACCAATGTCTGAAAAAGACATATATATATAGACAGTCTGTACTTATGTTACTTAATAATTTGGTTCCCATTAAGAGGTGACTGCTTAGAAAAAATCAGTTAACAGTGATAAAATTTAATCCACATGTGTTTTCTGTTAGTTCAAAATAACTACTTCAGTCTATGATATAGAAGTGACAATAAGCACTTTTTTTTTTAAATTTTACTTTAAGTTCTGGGATACATGTGCAGAACGTGAAGGTTTGTTACACAGGTATACATGTGCCATGGTGGTTTGCTGCACCCATCAACCCGTTATCTACATTAGGTATTTCTCCTAATGCTATCCCTCCCCTAGCCCTCCACCCCTCAACAGGCCCGGGTGTGTGATGTTCCCCTCCCTGTGCTGAGGTGTTCTCATTATTCAACTCCCACTTATGAGTGAGAACATGCAACGTTTGGTTTTGTGTTCCTGTGTTAGTTTGCTGACAACGATGGTTTCCAGCTTCATCCGTGTCCATGCAAAGAAATGAACTCGTCCTTTTTTATGGCTGCATAGTATTCCATGGTGTGTACTTGTCACATTTTCTTTGTCCAGTCTATTACTGATGGGCATTTGGGTTGGTTTCAAGCCTTTTCTATTAAAAATAGAAGCACCTTTAATTTTAAGACAATTTTCTTAGAGTTATTATTTTATTTGGCATATCATGGTATTTCACCACTTAACAGACTGTTTTTTTAACAATACAAACTGTGCCTATTATTTTTTTCATGTATTCCTTTCAAATAATACTATAATTGAACAGCATAGATGACATTATAACAGTAAATAAAAATTGTGAGTCCAGGCAAGATTTTCCTTTTCACATACTATTTCAATATGACATCTAATGCATAGAGGTGAACAAATCCTTCCTGAATTTAACTAAACTTTATGTAACTTGATTCCATCTTAGATGTTCCAGACAACACAGGTTTAGTAATTTTGACAGTGCGTATGCCAGTCACACCTCTATTGCCTGCCATTTTCTATGATTCACATTTCCAGATCACCATCCCAGTGCAGATGAAGAAGGTTGTGAATGTACTAGAAAAGGTAAGGAAAAACTTATATATGTTTGGGGAATTTTTCCTGGTAAAAGTATTCTCAGAATCTAATTTCACCTCTTTCCTAAACATAAAAACATTAAAGCATATATCACTATTTATGTTTATGAGGGTATTTCAAGCAAACCTAAATCACAAGGTAAATACAGAATACGGCCCCCAGGAGCTCCTCTGTATTTTTTCAACATTTTTACAGTATACCCAAAATATGTGATCTTCAGCAAGCAAATTCAGAGCCAACAACCACATCTTTATATCTAGATTTCCTACTATCAGGGGAGGCTTTAAAATCTGCAGTGTCATAAAAAATCAGTTACTTCAAGCTGTTATTATGAATAGCTACCTCCAAAGTGAACTAAAGAAGAGTTTAAGAAGATATTTTTCAAAACTTACAATTGAAGAAAGAATCAATTTTGTTTTCTAAGTGCAAATGCTTTGTTGGAAAGAATAATTGGCTTAAAACATTTAACCTTCAGGATTTTACAGAAGGATCATGATGTAACAGCCAACTAAAGGCATATATAATTTACTAAATAGTTACATGGACAGGATGAAATTGGATGTGTACTGGCTAAAGTTTGTAAATAGGCTGTATTTTAAATGGCAATGTTATTTACCACAGATAAAGAAACGGTATTCTAAGCATCTCTGTAAAATAATACCACGGATAGCACTGGGTAGGAATATGAATGAATGAATGAATGAATGGGAGAGTTTGGAAGTCCTAACCAGAGTAACACCAAATCTTCAACTCAATATCAATGGAAAAACCAAGTCTTATTCTTTACTAGTTTCTAAACTATGCAGAAATTATTTCATGTTCATTTAGTTTAATATCAATCTTATTTTTGGCAATTTCAATATATTTGTGGTTTTACTGAGTACAGTCAATCTCAGTCCCTTCTCTGAGTTCTAGATTAGAAAATAACTCACAGAGAGGAAATAACATTCTTTATATAAGTATTGCTGATACAAAAGAATAAGGCTTAAATGTGTGATACAGTGGGATTCATTAACCTTATTTCTAAAATTAAACAGAGTCTCAAGCCATAGGAAGAACCGAACACCATAAGGCTCTTCGCGCTATCACTATTAGTGCAGAGGCAAAGCCTACTTTTATCTATCGTTCAGCAGAATCTATTCTTTCTGCAGGCAGCCTGGAAGGAGAAAGGAGGGGCTGAGCTAAGCACATCTAGGTCCTTTTCCCATAGTCACCAAACAGATAAGTAACTCTACCTAACATAGGAAGGAACGAATGAACTGTAGACATAGACTCTAAGAGTGTGATAGACGGACATTTCTTCCCATAAAATGAACTGTTAGGATGGAGAAAGAGGAAGCACCTCCACATTCCAACATCCTTATCTGCTCAGAACTAAAACATATAGCTTCTACAGAGCCCAGGAGATGGGAAAATCCAGTGTTTTAGTGAATCACTCTGTTACAAGTATTATTTTCAAGGCTTTCATTTGAAAATTAACAGCTGTATATAAATGATTGCATCATTATTCTTACTTATTAAAATGGCAAAAATAAGCATATAATTTATTTCAGCAGCCCAATACTGGTTGTAGAAATATACCTTATGTTTCTGATAACTACTTATCTTAAAATATGTGTCTCTCTAGAAACAGGTAACAGCCAGTTTCAGATACTGGTACAGATATAAATATAAAAATTTATTTTATTTCACACAACACTGGTTTTGAGGCTTAAAATTACTATATACGCTGTTTTATAACTTTGCAAGTAGTAAAAAATGATAAAGTAAAGCACTTCACAAATCAGGACTAGAGATGGGAAAATCTTTAAAGTACATGTTTTATTTCTTCATCCCACTGACATCAATCACTAAACAGACAACTTGCACAAGTTGGATCTCCATATGTTTAATATTTTAAAGAAAAGCACATTTGAATTAAGAATTTCTGAGCCTAGATTCTCTCCTGATTCTGTATACCATTTACAACAAATACAAAAATCTACTTTTTAAAAACAGATGACATGTGTAGACATGTCACATTTCTTCTCTTTCAATCATAAAAAAGATTCACAAGACTAAAAATTAGCCGGGCATGGTGGTGGGCGCCTGTAGTCCCAGCTACTCGGGAGGCTGAGGCAGGAGAATGGCGTGAACCCAGGAGGCGGAGCTTGCAGTGAACTGAGATCGGGCCACTGCACTCCAGCCTGGGCGACAGAGCAAGACTCCGTCTCAAAAAAAAAAAAAAAAAAAAAAAAAAAGGAAGCTTTATGTAAACTTTAAGACATTTGAGTAAGTTTTTGTCTAGAAGAATTTACTAATAAGGAACAGTGAATTAAATCTCAAAGAAATTATAGAACTTGAAAGGTTTTCCCACTTAAAATAGACAAAAAACATATATCATCATGCATTTCCTAACAATAAGGATATATTTTGAGAAATGTATCCTTAGGCAATTTTGTCTTTGTGCCAACATCATAGAGTACACACTCACAAACCTAGACAGTGTAGCCTACTACACACATAGCATAGACTATTTGGTATGGGTTGTTGCTTCTGGGCTACAAACCTGTACTGCATGTTATTACACTGAATACTATAGGCAATTATAACACAATGCCTCTTTGTGTATCTCATCATACTTAAACATGGAAAAGATACAGTAAAAATATAATATACAAGATGAAAAATGGCACACCTATATATGACAGCTCCATTATAATTTTATGGAACCACCAACATACACGTGGTCCATCATTGAACTGAAATGTCATTATGGGGCACATAACTGTAAGATTTAAAATATGATATGCACCAAACAACTTTGATATCATCTAAAATGATACGTTGTAGGTTTATAACTGCATAAAGGTTAATAAGACCTAAATTAAATTTGTGGATTAATTTTTTTGCCCAATTTTGCCATATATTGATGGTAAAGAGTAAAATTTGAACAATGATTCTTACTTCCTGAATATCCGTGCCTATAATAAAATCGAGATTATACATTTCTCTCCAATTAGTTAATAATTATTAGTTGCATTAAGCAAATAATGTGCTATGCTTTATCAACCAATGAATTTTGCTTGCCTAAAGCTCCTTTTAAGTTTAAATTGTTTTCATTAAGACAAGTTCATTATTATGTTCAAGGTCTCTATAAACCAGCAGTATTTGCTTTTATATGCATTTACATATTTTACATTTAAAATACACCATTTTGGGAGAAGTATATGAATTGAGGAAGAGAAAATAGACTAATATACTATTGCTTAATATTGTTGCGTTAGTTACTTAAAATAATTGCACTGGAAAAAGACCTTTCTATAAACTTGTAAACAACTTAAATTCCTTGAATGGTGTTTTAGAAAATATATAAATATACACATTTTTACATATAATACTTAATATATGTGCTATATTAAATATGTATCTATGTACTTTATAACATGTATTCAAATGTTTTTATAAAACATATGAACAAATACATATATATTTATACACATATATATTCATGTGTGTGTATATATACACGTATAAAATCGTATTTGTTAGAGAATATGTGAATTAATTCAAAACACATTTCCCAAATGTGTTGGTCAATGAAATTATAGGTTAATAGTTCTACTAAATGATGTAAATTGGCCTTTATGAGAGATCATTTATTTAAGTGAAAATTCAGTTAACTCTAAAAAGTGAATTTATTAAGCGCTAGCTTAATCTCCTCATCATTTAGAACTGCACCATCAAGGTCTTTATAATATGTTCAAATAAATGCAACTCCCTAAGAGTGAAATATTTTCTTTAAACTTCCCACGTGTGTCCCGTGTATCTACATTTACAGGAAGGGAAGATACACGATTTGTTACATCAGCTCAGCAGCAGTTCATTTTCGCTATCTGCAAAGAAATTAGATTATATTTTTACATAACCATAGTGATGAGCTTTGTTTTCAAGTTTATTCTAGTCTGCTTGTACAACACATAGTATTAACAGTTTTTATATGTCTGTCGACAGAGAAAAAGAAATAAGTCATAAGCAAATACATATTTGAAATGCAGTTGTTGTGAAATAAACATCTTCTGTCCCTCATATTAAAAAGGTATTTAGGAACAGAAAGTTTTAGCATACTCATCACATTTTAAAAATGTGTACCAAAGAAAAATGATAGTTTTAGATTTTCATGCTACTTTTTGTCTTGTGATGACCTCTCCTGGTTGAGTTGCTCATTATCTTAGATTCATGTAGTTTCCATCTTTTTCTCCTTTGAATGTTTTATATTAAGAATATAACTATCATACTTTTCTTCAGAGCTATATATAATGTAAATAAAAATGTTCATTAATGTAAAGTACAGTTGATATTTAAAGTACTGAATCCATGAAACTCATTCTAATCAATAAAGTTCTGTAGCATCCTTATTATTTAATTCATTTCCAGGATATAGGGCAACTTTGCATTTTGGTCACACAGTTTAAATTCAAACGAAATAAAAAGCCACCTTAATTAAGCCATTACACATTTTTAAACAATAGAGAATGAAAGCCAAGTTAATAAAAAATCTTAATGGCCATAACTATTAACCATCTTAAAAGTAATTGTTTCTATGTTCTCTGTCTTCAAATTCTAACTATAAAGTTGAAAACTCAGAAAATATTTATGAAATAACAACTTTTTTATCTTAAAATGCATTAACCCAAGGGCTGCCAGTGTTCCATTTGCTACTCATGGCAGATGTTTCAGATGGACCCATCAAAATTAAAGTATACAGAATGATGGAACACAGAACCCAGGAAAAACCCTGGATATGAGGACCTTCAATCAGTGAATATAATAAATTTAATATATGAGGAGTTTATTTTCCAGGAAAAGTGGCAGGAAATTCTATACAACCAGACCTTGAAATGGAAACAGAAATTTCATCAAACTAGTTTCCCAGTGATAGAGTTACATATTTGTGTAAATATCAACAGCAAGCATTATATCCCCAAAATTTGTTTAAATTTATAAAATTGACATAAATATTAACAATATTTAACTCTTTGTGATTTAACTTGTGTTATAAAAAATGCTATACAATGTTTTCAAGTTCATTACAAACTTAGATTGCCAGTTAGTTTATCTCCTTATCTTTACACATTGTGGGAAAAGAAAAGCTAATACTGTACTTAGGAAGATATGTCAAAACAGTAATACTGGCTCATAACCGGATATTATATAGTAGATTCCTTATTACAACTTATAATGTCCTTTTTCAATGCTATTCCTGTTGATATTTACCACTACAATAAGATCATTATTAACAAAGATGCATTAATACATCCCAAAATCTTAGAAACAAAGACTACTTCGCATATGACGAATTCTGGAAAATATTAAACTTTTCTTTTCCTAAATGGACAAAAAAATCTTCCTTTTAAACTCTGAAATCTCCACGATAATTCTTTATCAACTTACTCATTCTCAGAAACTAGTATGCGCTTATGAATATTATCCTAAGATTCCTATAGGCAGTCTTTCTAGTGTTTAACTCTTTCTGAACCAAAGGAACAATCATGCATTTCCTCTCTACATGCACAGTATGCACTTCTAAAGGAATGCAGAAAATGGGCCAGAATCTTCCATTTCTTTCTAAACCTCATGAAAACAGGGGCAGTCTTAAACACACACACACACAAACACACACACACAGTTGATTAAAATGCAGAGATATACATATTGAATATAATTATTTTCCTGAAAACCCTATTAAGAATCTGTTTATTACTACATTAACGACGCTTTGCACTGAGTGTCCCAAGTACCGTACTGCATCAGTCATATCCATGATATCAAAGTATCAAAGAATTAAAGCAATTTCAGTTACAATTTCGCTGCCTTCCATTTTAATAAGCAAGTACTAAATGGGCATTAACTTTTTAAGGGAACGGGAGAGGTTAAAGAGACCCTATAGGTGCCCAAACTGTTTAAAACATGCTCCTCTTGTTAACCTCAACCCCGTGCTCATTAAGTTATAACCATAAATAAAAATAAGAAACTTGGTTTTGCCATGGTCTTCACTTTTCATTCACTGACCTACCTAAGCCAAATGCAGTTAACTCTCCCTGCACAAACAACTCCTAAGAAGCTGCCATCTACATCAGTCTCTCTAGCCAAGCTCTTGCCAACCGATCACCAAGACCAGGAACAACTTTCCAGAAACATCACCAGCGTCACAACCCTGTCTCTTCCAAAACAGAAACGCTGGGTTTCGAGTTTGTCTACTGCAGTGGCTGCAAGTGTGTGACAGCGGAGACACAAACACATCAGGGTGCCAGCACTGCGATGCACTTCGGAGTTGATACCCTGGTGCCAAACATCAATGCCGCACTGAAACTGCTCCAGAGCAGAGCGAGGAGACGGCTACTTACGGGACGTGGAGGGAGCCGTCCAGGCTCTGCAGAGGCAGCTGCTGACAATCCACAGCAGGAGCGCTGCCCCGCAGCCGGCGCGCGGAGCCGCCTGCATCCTTCGCCTCCCGGCCGGCGGCGCTCCAAGAGCTCGCTGCGGAGATGCAGTCCGACTCTCCGTAGGGTTCTTGAAGGGAGATGGGCTGTCCTCAAATACGCGAGGAAGCCAAGCCCCTCCCGCTTCCTCTTCTCCCCTCACCCCCCTCCAGGCTCCAGTTCTTCCGGGCTTGGAGCGGCAGGGGAGTCTCAGCCTTCGTTCTCCCTCCGTGCGGGTATTGCCTCTTGCACTGTGTGCCAGTGCAACGCCGGGGGAGGAAATTCAAACCAAGAAGGCAAAGGAGGGGGAAGAGGGGAGGGAACGGACACCTACCCCGCCCTCTCCTTCTTGAAAAAAAAAAATCACCAAAGGACGGGGGAGGGAGGTAATCAGAAGAGCAGAGGCTGCAGAAGAGGAAGGCAGAGCGACGGGGACGGTGGTGCAGCTGTTGCCACTGCGGGCGAGCGCTCCCTCCGCCGCCGGGCAGCGTGACTCGAGGGGTTTCCACTCGCCTGTCAGCTCACATGGAGAGCTTGTGTATGTGGGGAGCGCGCAGCGCAGCCGGGGCGCACGCACGGCCTCAGCGCTGCGCCGCGCGAGGAAGCATCTCCCGGGCGGCGGAGCGCGAGCAGCAGCAACAGCCGCGGAGAGCAGGAGACGCCGCCGCCGCCGCCGCCGCCGCCAGCTCCTGTGAGCCCGGGCGGCGAGCGAGGCGGAGGGAAGCCCTCCCTTCTCTTCCCTTCTCGGTTCCCTCCTCGGCTCCTCCTCCTCCTCCGCCTCCTCCTCCTCTTCCTCCTCCTTACCGTACCCCTCTGGCTGTCAAAACCCTTCTGCCCTGCCCTGGCCTCGTTTGAAAGCAAAAGGGAGACTGAGCCGACCGGCCGGGGTCCATCAGCTGGGGCGGGGGCGGAGCAAGGAGGCGCGCGCCTCTCCCTGGGCGGGAGGTGATGCTGTCCGCGGTGCTGAAGTTGGGGATTTGCCGTGTAATCCTAGAACCCTGCTCCAAACCTGGCTGCCCCCTACCCGGCTGCAGGAAGGAGAACACCCTCGCTCGGATGCCTTCTCCTTTCCTTCTCTCCTCCCCTTCAGATAAAGATGGTACAGGCTCCTGGAGCTCCGGCCCCCCGGGAACCACAGTCAGGCGTCCGACAGGCAGGTCTTCCGAGTGGTCCTAACACCAAGTGACGGTGCTAAACATCCCGACTGACTGGAGCAGGGAGGGAGGACTGCAGATGCCGTTAATGCACATGTTTTCGATATGTAATTAATTCGTACTCATACATATGCACACGTACACCAAACACACGCTGCTGCCAGGAGAAACTACACTTAGGCAAACACGCATACAAACACAAACACAAAACGGAAATACATAAGCAGGCATATGGGTAACTATTTCAAGGTACCTGAGGCATTGCAAGCACTAAGAATTAAGAATGTTTAGAGAGACCTAGATTTTTTCACATTTAGATAATTTTAATAATAATTATCAAGCTCTTCTCCCCAGCTCACAGCTCTTCACACTCTACCCTCCATATGTTTTTCTTCCATCTAGTCTACTTAAAGTATTTGAATTCTTATGTCTCTGCAGAGCCAAGCATTCCACTGACTTTATTGACACAATTAAAAATTATTGGTCATCTAAATATCTAATGATGTTTGTGGAGGACTAAGTAGGAGTAACCATGTCTTTCGATGTTATGCAATGAATAAGCATTTGCATTTAAAGATAAATAGAAAATTTATGGAGGCTTGCCTAATCCTGGAATAAACTGAGTTTTTAACATCATTGTTTGGTCTTAGAAAGGTCCACTGTAAATAGTACTGTGTATTCACTGCATAATTAATATGGTGTTAATGGGTCTGATTCAGCGCTTTTTATTTGATCTTTGTTTCTTGTTAATTTAAAAGGATGCTTTGTCCTAGTAAGAACTGCAGATTGGGTACAATATGGAAAATGAAGAAACACACAGATGACTAATGGGAGGTGAACTGCCTCCTCATTCTATAAAATACTCCTCCTGTAAAATAATACAGCAAATGCATTCTTATGGATTATAAAATGTCCCTTTGCTGTTTGAATTATCACAGACTGTCAAAAGTCAATGACCACTTGCCAAAACACTCCAGTAAAGAACTGCCATCAGCCATTTCTAAGAGCTCAAAGAAACAAGTCATAGGAAAAAAAAAAACTGTCAGAAAGCGTAACTTTTCAGAACAATCTATTATTTAACTATGCCTCTCCATTTTAACTATCATACTGAACTCCAATAACATAGCATTAAAGTATTTTCAATAGAAGAAAAAAGGCAGCGATTGAAAGTATTACCATTTCAGTAACTCAATGAATGCTATTCCATGGGTATCTCAAGCAGAACTGAAACAATTCCATTTCCCAGATTACCAAACTAAAAGACATGCAATAGACATCTATTTAATTATTTTGTAACAGAAAATGATATACCTGAGGGTGTATTCTTCTCCAAAGAGCATTCTGATCAGTTTGTAGTAATTTCTCCTAATGAGAAACAACAAAACTCAATTTAATAACACATGTAAATACCTGCACCACCTCTGTGCCATATAGGATGGTCTTATTTCATGCCAGTATGAGCTAAGAGCCTGCTTTAATCTGTTTTCAATGCACTTTGTCAGGTTTGAAAGTTATGTCACATCATTTGTAACACAACTACCTCTGCCTTCAATTTGTGTTAATTAGATATGGACATCTGGAACTCAAAATACTTAAAGTCTTAAGACTTTAATTGTTGCCAGATCAGAGACTCCCTAGAGTATAATGCTATGTTCTTCCTATCCAACTCCATTAGAGTTTATATTTTCATCATTATTACAATTAGAATTTAGAATTAAGCTTCTTCTTCCTTCAGTTATCACTATGACTTTTAGTGAGAAGGTAGGAATTAGTAAGTCTGTTTGTTCTGGTCAAACTACACGGTCCAGCAAAACTGGTAATCCAGTCAATGGACTTACAACAGTCCAACCAGATGTCTAGTAGATATGATAAGCATGAAATTTCTTGTTTCTGAGAGTGAATTCATTATTGATTTCTATATTACATTGATGTTTGCAAATAATTGAAGACAGCTAATAATGATTTGAACATATGTCTCCTTAGTTGGAAGTAAGGTCAATTAAAGCTTGAAAGTAGTAAAACTAAGTGGACCAACGGTACACACACACAAACCCACCCACCGGCCCCCCCACCCCAGCCCCACCTCCCCCAAATGCACAGCATGACCAGAAAAGACAGTGGGCAATTTGCATTATTTTGGAAGTAGAGCAATGGAAAATAATAAAGAATAGACATTTTCTCTTTCCCACTGCTCACATCCTCTTTACTTCAACAGATTTTTAAAAAATGTTAGCTTGATCCCATGAGTAGTGACTTCATTAGCAGTATACACATTCTTCATTTGCATCCCCAATATTAATTGAATATCTACTATTATTGGGTTTGGCATTATGCTACATAGAGTTTATGCCTATGACCAAGATGGATATTACACTGGTAGTGAGTGGTTGAATAAACGGACCAAAATAAGTCCATATCATCTTTATGCTAACATTAATTCAAGTAAATCTTGACTGGCTCTTTTTTTCCAATATCTTAATACATTCTTAAAATTAATATTCTCAACAAATATAAAAATTATTTTTATCACAATCATCATTATTATTCCAGAGTTCTGTAAATAGTCTGCCACAATGTAAATTATCTCAAAAGTCTGCCCAAATTTTGGAACTTAAGTGAAAAAAAAGAGTCAAAATATTTCAATCTTAACACTTTGAAGTGATTGCATGAAGCACTGGAAAAATTCAGGAATTTTCAATAGGTTAAAAAAAATTGGTATATGTCTAGGTGAGTGCCTTGGAGTAGAATTTCCTTCTGTAAAGGGAGCTGTCCAACTATGCCCAGAAATCAGTGAATGCCTGCTGAAAAATCGGCCAAATTAGAGTAGATACATTTGCCAGTCTGATTGCACCCTCTAAGAAGGCTTTAGCACCTGCTTCTCTGAAAATATACAAGCTGTCTGGAATGTTATTCTTTAGTGAGCATGAACAGGATAAAGTAGAGTCCCATAGTAAAACCTCTGGTGAGCTGAAAAATCTACCTGGATTTTGGTCCTTTAGCCCTGCTAATTGTCCCTGGGCACTCTGAGATACTTCATATCATAATCAAGTATCAATTGGAATGACATACTGAGGAAGATGCATAAACTTAAAGGGATTTCCAAAATTTCACTTTATTTTAAAGGTCTCAGGGAAATGCATGATACCGAGTGTTATTTGGATTAAACACCTTGAATATATTGCTAAAGAAACAATTCATGTTTTGGCTGTTTAATGTTAGTAGGAAAGGTAAAGTCAGCAAAGGGTGGTCTTAATGCACTGGTAAACATACTTTCAATTAATATAAGAAACTGGGAGGAAAAATAGTTAAACTAATTTGTAAATTTAGAATATAAAACTTGACCTTAATATTTATTGCATTCTTCATGTTCTGCGGGGTGAGGTGGGGGTCACAGCGCAGCTCTGTTGCCCAGATTTTAAGTGAATTTCTTTTGAGTGTCATAATCACATAGAAATTAGGAAGAACCAGATGGTCATTCAGGAAGCAAGTTAGAGTGGAAATTGAGCCTGGTCTCTGGGATTTGTGTATTGGCCTACAAACTCTTTGTGTGACCTTACCCGCACACTGGATGCTTTCATTTTCTCACCTATAAGATCAGAGTAGTATTTATACCCATAAAACTTGATTATTTTGGGAATTAAACATAATTTATATATTATACCAGGCACAGAAAGTGTTCTCTATAGATTAACTACCAGTACTATTATTATTATCCAGATAAATTAATATACCTCAAAGTTCTAAACTGAAGTTCTAGAATCTTAAGTTTATCCCTCAATAAATTCATATTGAAAAACCATTTAGATTTTTTTCTGGATTAGAAAAAATCTTTTATCAATGAGAAGTTATGTCAAATTGTCTGAACATTAAGATCAATTTATATATTAATGTGAAAGCAGTGTGAAAAAATAAAATGCATATTGGAATAAAATTTTGGAAATATATTTGGAATTTGAAAGAACTATGAGAAAGTAAGGTCTATAGAAACATAAGGCAAGATGTGGGGCTTGTGAACTGAAGTACATATTTTCCAACAAAGATCACTTCTTAAGATTTTGAAAATTATCTTTGTTTCAATTAAAAGAGAGAAAAATAGAGTTGTTTAAAATTATTCTAAGCATTAAAGTATTACTACTCCATTGAGACTAGACCTTATGTTATAGATGTACAGACTGTCTAAGCAACAAGGAGGACCCATTTCCTAAAGCAGTAGTTTCAGGAGATGAAGGAGAGGGGAGAAAAAGGCCTTTCAGCGTTACAGGCTGGTTACAGAGAGGCAGTCAGGCTCTCAGAATTGCAGTTCCAGAAGTGGTTGCTGCTGAAATATTCAAGTTTATGAGTGGATTGTTTCCTGAAAAAATCCAGGATTAAGTTGGAGGGTAGTTGGTCTAATCAGTATGGCTACCCAAAGTAGACTGCCTGCAGCAGGAAGTAGGACTTGTTACAGTATAACCAGCTCACAGTTTGCAATTTATCATCAAAGGTTTGTTTTAATGCAAAATACTAAACTATAATAGGAAGGCTGTTGAGTACATTTATGAAGCACAGTCTTATGGGCAAGGGCTTAAAGACCTTTAGATTTTATAACTCAGGTCATTTGATTTGATAGAATTGAGTAATGTGTCTAAATCACATAGGCGAATGCAGATTTTGCTGACTTTTGTGTGAAATTTGTGACATGAGTAGCTAGGCTGTGGAAAGTATCTTAGTCTGAATTTAGAGATGTATGCTATTACTACTTTAACAGCAGATTGTGTGAAGTTTTATGTGGACTTTTCTTGTCAGACAGGTTATTTAAACTTTTATCCTTCTACTGATGTCATGATTATACATTTTAGACCACAGGGAATTGGGTAGAATTTACTCCCAAAAAGGAGATCAGTAAGTCCACGGAAAATATTTGGGTTAATAAACATCAAGAGTTAATATGATTTCATCTCAGGGGAACGAGGGTGAGTGAGAGCATAGAAGAGGAGATGGATAAAATTCTATGAAGAATTAGGCAACAGCCTTCATTCCAAATACAATTTCTTTGATTTGGCTTAAAGATAGAAATGACTTGAACTGGAGGGTTATGTCTATGTCTGTGACTTCCTCTTGGAATGGGGCCTGTGAAATCTTTTTGGTAGTAAGTGAATACAGAGGTGCATATTGAAATAGCAAATGAAAACAATAGTCATGACCACTGAATTCCAGCCCTGGGATATTATCTGGTTCTAAATAATGGAGGAGAGGTATTGTGATACTTTGTTCAGGTACTTAAGAGGAGATGAGCTTGTATGTAAAGAACAAATGTAAATAAAATTAAAAATGATTTGTGAGGACTACAGGAAGAAAAAAAGGCAGTAGCTGATACAGACTATCATCTTTGGTCTAAGTGGAACTAGAGGAATATTATGGAATGCTCCAAATCTACTTAATGTCGACACACATTCTCATGTATGGTACTTCATTTGGTTTCTAAGAAAACCCATAAAATCCTTAAACTTTCAAAATAGGGTGAGACTGATGATAATGAATATTGTGTAGATAGCCATGGGAAGGATGCAGAGTTGTTTTATTTGGGGCAAAAGATGGATTTAAACATTTGACAAACAAGCTTGCCTAAATTGTCACATTCTTGACAAAATTTAGCAACTCAGTGGAATAAAAAGGAAAATGGAATTAGTGTGGTGTCAGACAAAGGATATTTGGAAGAAGTAAGATCATCTAGAAGAATTTACAGACTTTGTCTTTTTCCTGGGTTGATAAAAGTTTATCATTCTGCCTCATCCCCAAGGATATATTTCTGGACCAAGATCAACTATAGTATCTTCAGTTGACTTAAGGAGAGAAAACCCTTGCACTAAGAAGCTTTTAGTGTCAGTAAAGAAAAATGGTGCACTCCAGCCATATTGAATATTAGGGCTAGTGCTATATGCTCTGTCTAGAAAAGAATAAGCTCATTTCTGAGATGTAGAGTCTAGGATGATGCTGGCAGGTCCCATTTTCTTTATTGTTAGTGTTCTTCTAGACATGTAGCAAATTGGAGAGTACATAGTTATAATGGGGTTCATGCGAAAGCCAAAAATCAACTTTTAGTAGCAGCATTTACAACAAATAAAGGTTAAGAAAACACACCATCTAGCAAATAAATTATAAACACTTAACTCAATTTTAGGAGATGGTTTCTTAGAAAATAAACCATAAAATGGGTGGCTTATAAACAACACGCATTTATTTTTCGGTTTTGGAGGCTGAGAAGTTCAAGATAATGTGCTTGCAGATGTGGTGTCTGGTGAGGGTTTCTCTCTCATAAATGGTACCTTCTAGCTGTGTCCTCCCTTGATAGAAGAATAAAAATTCTCCCAGGCCACTTTCATAAGGACACTAATCCCTTTCACATGTGTTCTGTCCTCATAATGGACCCAACCGCCAAACACCTCATCTTCTAATGCTATTAACTTGAGGCTTAGGATTTCAAGATATGACGTCTGAGGGTACACATTCAGACTACAGCAATTTCCAAGTTGTTACCTCTTTACATTCCATACAATATGATGTCTGCTTGTTGAATGTCCAAACATCTGAGATCCTCAATATTTTCCTGGAGTATTTCTTGGAATTTCATATTCCATTTTCCTCTTATTAGTTTTTGAAAATGCTAGATCTACTGACAAAGTTGAATGACATTAGGTAGCATCCAAAACCCAATCCAGTGATTAGATTGAAGTCAGCAGTCAGATAGACCAGATAAAATAATATAGCAAACAGGGCATATTATTCTGGAGAATCTGGACATTTAAAGAACAAAGTAAACAATCAAAAGAACAAATGATCATTTATTGTTCACATGGTAGGAGTTGACATTACTGACTTGAAACTAAAGATTACTAAATTTTTTTTCATCTGGAAAGATGAATTGATTTAAATCTCTCTACAAATTTATTTACTATGTCCTCAATTTGCAATAGTGGAGCTATATAGTGCACCAAAATTTGAGATGATAATTACTGCCTAAATGTTTAAGCTAGTTTGCATAGTTACTGCCAAAACATTTACAGCTTGCTTCCATAGTTCTTACTGAACCTAATTTCATGTAAGAATGCACCCTCCCATCAAACAATAGGAAACATGAAGCCCTCTTTTACTTTTGCAGAGCTGAAGGCAATTATGGAAACTAAAGTTGTCTTTTATATCAAATACCTAGAACAAATAATAAATTTTACTTCAGTTTGAACTATGTGATGATTATAAAATACATTTCAGAAATGACTAACTAAATGCTTTAGTACAAACATGTTTAATTCTTCTTTTCAAATATGTTTTTTCACTTGAATATATAAATTTTAAGGTTCCCCTATTATAGTAATTCTGCTAAGATCCAAATAACTGTGTTATTACAATTGAATGATCATCACGGTAGCTTATGTGATAATATAATAATTAATGATAACTTAGTCTATTGAAATTTCCACGTAATTACCATTTATCCAGGAACAGGGAGGAGAGAGAGGAGATGGTGTTTTCATTTATATCTTGTTTAAGAATATTTCTAATGTATACTAGCTCACATATCTGCTTTAGTATGTTGAGTAGATTGAATGTAATTTAATCTTTCTTTGAGAATTCATTAATTTGATAATGCAATTATCATTTCAACTTTATCTACTAAAATTGAATTAGATTGAAATATTTCTGATTCCAGAGTTAGTGTGACTTTATGTTAAAATTGCTTTTTCTCTACTTCTCTTCATCTCCTTAAATCTTCAAGAGTCCATGCAGCAAGTTGAAACTGAGGTTGCTTACCACTTGGAAGGTAACTCTTTAGTCCCCTGAAAGACCAAATAGGAATAAAGCTGTGTCTGAGAGGCAAGAGAGGTGAATGGAGCAAACTCTGCCTGAGATCTTTGGGGCAGGCTGATCTAATTTCACTCCTTTGTGTGTGTGTGTGTGTGTGTGTGTGTGTGTGTATCTGTGTGTGTGTGTTTTTTCAGAGTTCTGCAATTCCAGTGGTCAAGAATTAGCCCAAACACTAGGTAGTAATAAACAGTAATTTTAAAAATATTGTCTTGCTTATATTTCTTTGGGACTAGAATGCATGTATAGCTACTTGTAGAAGTCTAAGCCTCTATTGTCGTAAGAAAATTAACTTCAAATATACCATATGTATCCTAATTCAAATTCTTTGATCTTATGTCATTTTCATAAATGCCAAGTATGGAATACAATGCTATTTTTTGTGGAGTTTCAATTACTGACATTCAGGTAACAACATTTGGTTACTGTAAGGATTATAGACTGACATGTTGGTATTTTCTTTATTTAGAAGGCCCTGGATCATTTTGTCCATCATCTCGGAATCCCTAGCCGAGAATAAAAATAATTTAAGACTTCTATACTGGGAGTGGCAGAAACAAGTTAGGTGTAATTTATTTCCATGTGAATGTGCGAGTGTGGGGGGAATGGCGTATCTAACTAAAAGAAGAAAGGCACATGTATCTAATTTTTACAAGGCTATGGATATGATACTCATTATTTTAGGTATAATCTACGAATGTGCTTTACATTTAATCGATAATAAGTAATTTTATATGCTAACACTCCATTGTGTAGAACACTTTTTATAGTTATGTAATTTAAGTGTATAAACCACTATCATCTGCTCTTAACGTATTTGAAATGAGACAATGGTCATTTTTACAATTTATCACATCTTGAGTTAACGAGAAGACCTTTCTTCATATTACTTTTTAAATTCATGTACTGTGGAAGAGTTATTCATGTTCACATTGGGGTGAGTAACCAGAAGGATAGGCTCAAGGGAGACTTTTCTGTTCTCTATTCTGCTAGAGCCTATTACTTAAATTCCACCAGAAACAGAGAGGAATGAATTGGGATGGGAATAGTTTAAGCTTACCTTTAATATACACTCAATAAAGTACTCCTAGTTGATTAGAATGCAGTTCTTGTTCTAAGTCATTTGTTATTAGTTAACATATGCAATCAAAGTGTCTTAATAAGAATTATCTCAATTTTATTGACCAAGAAACTGTAAGCACATTTTTTTCTTCTTGTTAACGTTGGTCCTCTGATAGGAAAAAACATAGGAAAACTTTACACTAAAGTAATCAACTTCACCCTAAAATGATTAACTTGCCTAAGATAATTCTGATTATTGTCCAGTGCCTCTGTACAGAGGAGGGTGAACACGTAGAAAATGAAACTGAAATAGGAACAAGATGTTTGGTGACCTCACAAACGTGTTTGTAAAGAACCATAGCTATTGTATGAAATCAATAGTGGCTTCATGCTCTCTCCACCCAGCCCTCCCCTGGAAAGTCACCACCACCACCACATCAAATAAATAGCACAATCTATTCCATCCTTTCTCCCTCATACAACTTGACATCTTTCTTAGTATACAATTTGCCTGTCTTTTACCACTCACTAAGAGATACAATCAGGACTAGTGGAGAAGTGGAGCAAAAGGGGAAAAGAAGCACACACTGAGGTTTGCGGGGCTCTCCTTCTGTGGAAATGGCATTGACATTATTCCCCCTTGACCTCAACGATTTCTAATTGACTAGGTTCACAAAGATTTATCCTTTCATGATTCAAAAAACCTCTAGCCAGAATGTTCCCAAAGTTTTCATTCGAAAATAAAGTAGGATTTTATACAACTAAATTCAAATTTCAAACCTGAATCCAACGTCCCTGTCTTCAGTGGTGAAAATGACAATTGTATTTCCCTAATGCTCTGGTGAGGACCTTTCATAATAAATATTGTGTTTAGTTACATGGCAGAACTATTCATCTTTATGGAGACAAGCAATGTATTCTGTACCGCATCAATATATGATTCACTGTGTGAAGCAATCACAGTAATTCATTTCTCAAATTTCAGTTCTCAACTTAATCCTCCTCCTCTCATTTCATTCAACATTTGAAGATAATGTAAAACTTGAAAAAATTGCTTTAAAATAATTAACAAACTAATTATCTACTCCAGGTTACTCTGGAAAGAGTCACATAGAGAGAAGTTAGGTAACTTTTCCCCTTATTTGACTTCAAAGACCATAGAGTGTACGGTTCTTATTTTCAGGAGAGAGGGAGAAACAGAAAGAGAGGCAGAGAGAGAGAGAGAGACAGAGAGAGGGATGTTTTAGCTTCTCCAAGCAAAGTGAGGAGGAAAGTTACCCAGATAATTACTGCCATCAGATACTTTTGCTTGCTTATCTCTGTTGAAGACCATCATCTGAATAATTACCTTTGGCTTCTCTCTACTGTGCAGAAATTGCTTATCATAGGAGGAAATTTAAACAATATGATGACACTATTCCATTTCTCATTTTACAATAAACTACAATAAAAAAACAAAAACAAAACCAAGCAAACAAAATATCATTAGAACATAAAACAGTTTGTAAAAGTCTAAGCTTTGAAACTTGTATTCCTGAATTCAGACCTTTAGCTCATATTCCACAGTGTCTGTAACATTAAGTACATAAAATCAATGGACTGAAAGTAGGTGAAGAAAATAGTACATTACAACGTGGTTATTTTAGATTCTTAAGAAGAATGATATCAATTTCAAACATAAGAAGTATATCAAATGAAAATATTATATCAACTTTTGTATTCTTTCCTCTTTTTCACATAGTTCTGTGAATGCAGAGCGTGATCAGTTAACTTCAACATTTATTAAACTTTAATGTTTTTTAAAACATTAGAGGGTTTCAAAACCCTTAATATTTAAATTAATCCCAAGATTATACTCTTGAATAGCACTTATTATTTTAAAAAACTTTAGAGAAGAAATCAAAGGAAGAGAACAAGATAAATTAAAACTAAAAAGTTTTCCAAAAAGACATGATTTATGGTTCATAATCCCATAGTGAGCAGAGTATGAGATTAAGAACAACGTGCACAGATTGATTTTAGAAAAAAAAAGTGAGTGACTTCTTCCTTTGCTCTAGTAGGAAATACTGTAAAATAACATAGGTATTTTGAAACACGAAAGAGAGAAAACAATGTCTGACTAATCCAAAATCCATCAGTAAGTCACTGTCCAGTCAAATTCTGTTTTATGTCACCAGACAGTCTCTACTACCTTCCACATAAGGGAAGAAAATACAGAAGATGCAGTACTTACATTGAAAATAAAAATAAAAAGTGAGAGAATATATTTATAAATGATATACCTGATAAGGGGGTTAATATCCACAATATATAAGGAACTCAACTCAATAGCAAGAAAACAAATAACCTGATTCAGAAATGAGCAAAGGACCTGAACAGACATTTTCAAAAGAAGACATGGAAATTGTCAGTAGGTTTATAAATAATATTGAGTATTACTCATTATTAGGTAAAAGCAAATTGAAATCCCAGTGAGATATTACCTCACACCTGTTTGAATAGCTGTTATCAAAAGGATATATTATGATAAGTCTTGGTGAGGATGGAGAAAAAAATGTAAGTAGATAAAAAATACATTATAAAAAATGTAAATGTACAACCATTATGGAAAGTGATATGGAGGGTCCACAAAAAAAACCTAAAAATTATATTAAGAAGAATAAGCCAGGCACAGAAAGACAGATACTGCATAATTTCACTCATATGTGGAATCTAAAAAAGTTGATCTCATACCCCAGTGGTTGAGCTGGGGTACTTGGGGATGTATTGGCCAAAGAACACAACATTTCAGTTAGGAGAAATAAATTCAAGACACCTATTGTACAACATGGTAACCATAGTTAACAACATATTGTGTTCTTGAAAAATGCTAAGAGAGTGGAAGTGAAGTGTCAATTTACAAAAAAAAAAAAAAAAAGAGAATAGAACTACCATATAATCCAGCCACTTCTGAGTATGTATCCAAAAAAACTGAAATCAATATGTCAAAGGGATATGTGCACACCCATGTTCATTGCAACATTATTCATAAGAATAGCCAGGATATGGAAAAAACGTTAGTGTTCATAAGCAGATAAATGGATAAAAAAGATGGCAATATACACAATGAAATACTATTGGGCCTTAAAAAAAGGCAATTCTGTCCTTTCTGATAATGGATGAACCTGGAGAACATTATGCTTTGTGAAATAAGCCAGGAACAGAAAGACAAACACTACGTGATCTCCCTTACATGTGGAATGGAAAAAAGTCAAACTCATAGTAGTTGATATGCTTTAGCTATGTCCCCACCACCCAAACCTCATCTTGAATTGTAGCTCCCATAATTCCCACATGTCCTGGGAGGGACCCGGTGGGAGGTAATTGAATCATGGCGGCGAGCCTTTCCCTTGCTGTTCTCGTGATAGTAAGTCTCATGTGATTTGATGGTTTTATAAAGGAGAGTTTCCCTGCACACATTCTCTTTCCTGCCACCAGGTAAGATGTGACTTTGCTCCTCCTTCACCTCCTGCCATTATTGTGAGACCTCCCCCAGCCATGTGGAACTGTGAGTCCATTAAACCTCCTTTTCTTTATAAATTACCCAATCTTGGATATGTCTTTATTAGCAGTGTGAGAACAGACTAATACAGAAGTAAAGAGTAAAACGACAGTTATCAGGGTTAGGGGGGTGGGAGAAAATGGAGAGCTGTTTTTGGTCAAATGGTACAAATTTTCAGTTCGATAGCAGAGATCTATTGCATGGCAGAGTGACAATAGTCAATAATAATATATATTTCAAATAAATTTAGCAAATCTCAAATATTTCACCACAAAAAGTGATAAGCAAGTGAGATGATTGATACATTAATTAGCTTGATTTAATCATCTCACATTATATACATATATCAAAACGTCACATTTTACCCCATAAATGTATAAGATTATGATTCTTCAATCAAAAATAATATTAAAAGAAAAGGCAGTTTTTTTGTTCATGATTGACACACCATGTGATCATCAGTATAAGTTAAAGAATGGTGAAGAGGGAAGATGTTACGCTAAATAACTCAGTGTACACATATATAATTTGGCACTAGATCTACTTCTGGTTCCAGAGGAAAATAATCCGTCTGGTTATGGGACCCAGCACTGAGACTGCAGAGCAAGAATGAAATCACTCCCATCTCAGTACAGCTCATATTTACCTAAGTAACATAAGAGTGTTTTTGGAGAATTGCACTTTAATTCAGGGTCTTTGATATGTTCTATCATGCTCCTTAATGATTTTCATGGCAACCACAAGCAGGGAGTGTTGTGGGCTAAATTGTGCCCCGTCAAAATTTCTATGTTGAACTCCTAACCCTCAGTACTTGAAAATGTAACTATATTTGGAGATAAGACCATTGAAGAGGTAATTAACTCTAAATGAGTTAGGGTGGGGCCTGATTCAATATGACTGAGTCCCTTGTTTGAGGAGGAAATTTGTACACAGAAATATCATAATTTGTACACAGAAATATCATGAGAGTAGGCCATGTGAAGACTTAAGGGGAAAGACAGCTATCTACAAGCCAAGGAGAGAGACCTCAAAGGAAAGTTACGTTGAGGACATCTTGATTTTAGACTTTTGGCCTTCAGGACTGTGAAAAAATACACGTCTGTTTTTTAAACCACACATTCTGTGGGACTTTGTTATGACAACCTTCGAAAACTGATACAGGGAAAAATAGCTTCCTACCTAGATTCAGTCAAGATAAAGAATTACAAAAGTTCAATCTCCTGTCCTAAAGACAGTTTTTTTGAATTCTCTTTTTCACTTTTCATCTTTCTTTTGATGTATAAGAATGAGAATTGAATGGAACAAGAGTTACGCTATGTCATTTAGTAGAGTAGTCAGGCATAGCATCTGTGGTCAGGAACTCTGTTGTCTTTCTTGCAATAGTTCATGTTTGGTTAAGTGTTCAGTGAAGCTGCCTTTTATTATAGATTGCACCAGATTGCTAATATAGACATATGGAAATGAGTTTAACCCATTTGCAGTCTCTAGAATCTATTCTAGAACCCTAGCTATGGATATAATCTCTATACTGCATGGTAGTCTTTGGTAACCACAGGTCTTTTGACATTTTAATTTCTTCCACTATTACTCCAAGTGAAGTAACTCAAGAGTGGAAAACCAAAAACTGCAAGCTCTCACTTATAAGTGCGAGCTAAGCTTTGAGTACACAAAGGCATACAGGGTCATATAATAGATTCTAGAGGCTCAGATGGGGAGGCAAGGAGGGGGGCTAAGATAAAAAACTACATATTAGGTACAGTGTACACTGCTCAGGTGATGGGTGTATTAAACTCTCAGAATTCACTATGATAAATTCATTCACTAACAAAAAAACCACTTGTGCCCCAAACTCTATAGAAATAAAAATTAACAACAAAAACAAAAAAGACAGGTCTATGTCAAGTGTCTTCCTTTGAAAAGTTTAACCATTCTCAGACACTCAACCATCAACCATTTCCTTTTAAAATTTCTTAGTTCCAGTTATCAGAGTACATTTGCGTTTTCAGAAGAATCAGACTATAAAACTATATTTATTTTCATTTTTAAAGGATGTATTATATACTTTAGTAAGAAGATTACAAATATGGGTGGCCCTATCTTTAGGAAGAAGTTTGCAAAATTGAATTAGTCTTTTGTGGTCACAGTGTTGTGAAGTGCTTCTGCATTTACTGAGTGAGGGATGGTAGACACTGTGCATTGTATGGCGGAACATTCGTTTATAATTAATGATTATAGAGCCCAAATTAGTGTTAACATGAATTCAAAGTATTTTCTGCATGGTTTCAATATACACTGAATTTTCCCAAAATGCAAATGTAGTGGAAATTGAGAGAAAAAACTATTATTTTTTCTTAATAGAACTTTAGTTAACATTAAATACCATTTTAGAAAATCATGTCACTGATGGCAACACTAGCTGTGAGACTAAAAGTATACCACTAATAGTATTCCTACTTCTGCTGCTTACGTATTTCAAACAATCGTGGTGAATCCGAGTAGCAATGGGGCTCTGCAAACTTCATTATGTTTTCTACCTTCTCTGTACCTGCATATTAACATTAAGAAATGCATATTATTTTATTATAAATTATTTTTCTTACATTTTTATTTATATTAGAGTTTAGGCATTATTTTCAAAATATTTTTGAACATTCTTTTTTTTTTTTGAAATTGTGTGAAATTGTATAATGGGTTATACTATCTATAACCTTTGTTTCAGATAGTATTATAAAATATTTGTGTAAAGTGGTGTTGTGTGTCTAGAATTGCCTCTGGGACTTGCCTTTAATTCAGTCTTCCTGTAGTTATGCACCTACAAACCTTTAAAACCCGAACACAAATTGTCTTGAAAATTGAATTTCTGAACTATTTTCTAATTTAGAGTGACTGGGAAGGAAGAAAACTACAAGAGTGACTGTTTCTGTTCAGACTGGCAACCCCTTCAAGAGCTATTGAATAATAGAATGAAGGCCATCATCCCAGTGAAGGAATTCTCAATATACTTTCATTAGTAAGCATGTTTTTCCATTGTTTTAATCTTAGACCTGAAATGTAGAATGATTAGTGGTATCTATTTTGGCTGCTCAGTAGCTAGTTTTGCTACCCGGGTAAGTTCTGTGAAATTAAGAGTTTTGATTTATTATTTCACAGATGCATGTGGCAATTCCAGGAACCATTCCAAAACTACAAAGATTAGCTCATTTATCTTCACAGCAACTACTTTATCCCCACTACACCAAAGAGGAAACTGAGGAACAGTCAGGTTAACTTACCAAAAGTCAGTGATATCCAGTAAATTGCAGAGCCTGGACATAGTTGTCTGGCCATGGAGGCCATGGGCTTAGCTAATTATGTTACACTGCCTTCAAAGGTTGCAATATAGCAAACGAGAAAGAACATGGCAGTAAAAGGATTAAATGAGAAAACAGAATTAGATGATATTGCTTTATTCATAAAGGGTTCTTTAAGTTTCCACTTATGTTAAATTCATCATCCTATATCAAGTATGAATAATCAATGGAAGATCACCTTCAAATAAGAATTAATTTGTTTATGATAAATAGAGAATCATAAACATTTTCAATTGCAATTGCCTTTTAAATGCAGAGAAAGAAATAAACAACTCAATAGCTATTATTAGACATTATTTGAGCAAGAAAGGAAAGAAGAGATAAAGTGGGAGAGGGAAAAGAGAGAGAGACAGAGATAGAAAGTGAGAGAGAGAATGGAATGTAAAAAGGTACAAGCAAGCAGGGAAAAAATGTGAAAAGAGAGCAATGATTACTGACTTTATTATAAGTGAGAAATCTGACCATTTCTTGTCCGCCTAGTCTAGGCAAATTTCTGGTGTTTTAGATTATTTTCTTTTCTCATTCAAATGCTTATTTTAAAAGGATTCTGTTTTTAACCAGCTCATTTACCAGCGCCCCACTCCCACCCTGCCTCCAATTTTCAGGAGCTGGAAAAGCTGGAACAATAATGGAACAATCATGATATTCCTTTCCAGACAGATGCACCTTCATTTATTTTCTTTGTATATCCCCTTTCTGTAACATCCTCCTTTTGATCATATAACACAATTAGATCTTTGTCACTGCTTCTGTTTTTAAAATGTGCATATAATATTTTAATCTGTGGAAGTGATTATAACATTATGTTAACTTTACTAAAATGATTCAGCACTGTGCATCAATGGCTGTTTATGGATAGAAGTTGTTGTTGGGCATTGCTAAAGGAAAGCAAGCTACTTGCAGATATCAATGAATTCAGATTATTATTAGAAGATTCTGGTGAAGCAGCAGTAGTAGAAGGCAAACAGTAAAAAATGAAAGTTTCCACTGCATGGAAATATTTATTAATTTTGTTATTATTAACTTTTGCAGTTAATTCTTGTTTCCTCTGTTATTATTATTTTGTAATTGTCATCTTTTTAGTGTTCACTTAGCCTGTTATCTTTTATTGATTTCCAAATATCACCATTTGGTCAATATTTACATTTCAATGTCACGTTTCTTTCCCTCTAGAATAATCTCTTTTGAATATGACAGCCATATAACTTTGTTTTGTTACTCTGAGCACTTAGAATTGGGAGTCTTTACTTCATATTTTTCCAATGTTTCATAGCATTGATATTTCTTGTTGTTTTCTTTTCAATGATACTGCTTTTATTTTTAACTAAGCAAGGTTAACATTTGTCCTAGACTGAAATAGTTATATGTCCTACCATTAGATTATGAAATAATATATTGTCTACTTAGGCTATTCAAAACAATGTTTCTTATATTTTTGTTGATTAAATTCATATAAAAGTTTACAGTAAAGATATTGACCCCTGGTGAATAAATATCTACCTATATATGGTCTCTTTAACATGAGGATTTTGGTGTTGAAATGCTCCAGATGTATATATGATTACTTATTTAATTGTAGAGAATATAAGTTTCTCAATGTGTAGTCACTATCTTTCTACTGGAGTCATAATGATTAGTTGAAAAAAGCTGTGATATATTTTTCAGTTAAAATTCATACAAGTAGAAAAGATAGAGTGTATAAAAATCAGAAGCTACAGGCATGAATGTATTAGGATGATAAGTAATCATAAATCTTGATTGCAAGATGTCTGCTTTTCTCAATTGATCTTATTTGACAATAGTCAACAATACAGTTTTTAAATATTCTGTATTCCTGGTCTCAAAGCCACACTGCAACTAGGATTATTGGTCAATTGTTTTTCTACCAACTGATCTTGACTTAGAAGAAATCCATATTCTGTTTATATTAATAACCTTTACATTTGTTCTTATATAGAAAAAATGTATTCAGTGCTCATGAAATAATAATATCACATTCATTTCAATACAAAGACTTTTACTCGCACTCCGCACCATGATTCTAATTAAACTTGAAAGGGAACAAATAACATTTAAAGTTCTTTAGGGAATAATGTTACTCTCTTATTGGTTAGTTCATCCTCCTTTCAATCTTCTCTAAACTCTTAATTTTAGGTCTTTCAAATGAATTTAGTTTTTATATAAGCGTTAATATAAATATGCAGTAATTATATTCATACCCACACATATATGTATATGTTTTGTAGCCTTCTCATTTTAACTTATATAGCATAAATATGTGCACCCCAATACATATTCCATTGAAACATGCTATTTAAATTATTTCGTGATTTGCAACTGAAAATTGATGGGTCACTTCTAAATTTTAGTTCTCCAATACCTTACTTCTGATTATATATAGTATTCCCACGATCTTATGTTTCTAAATAATGTTAGCATTAGCATTAGCATTTTGTGTATACATTTTTGCACTAATCTCAGCTTACTTCTTCAGGGATGGCTTGATGAGTATGCAGATCACTCTCTGTTTTCCATGAGAACACCCCGAAGATCCATTTACTGCCCTTCTCTGTCCTGCCTGGTTCCAAAGCAGGGTCACCCTCATGAGCTTCATCACTTGGGACCTTGGCTTTCCATCGTTCCCCTGACAACAATGAGAGCCGCTGGCTCTGGCAGATTAGCTGGTGAGAGGAAAGAGAAGTTGGGGTGCTTCTTCTGTAGTGCTTCCACCTCCTAGTGGCTGGCCTCGGGTTTGACAACAGCTGAGTTCTGTGGTTTAATCTCCTATGCCTCTTTCTCCATGCTTGGGTTTCATCAGTCACCAGACTTACCTCTTCTGCCTCAGAGGTGGAAATGGCTTCCCATGTTGTTAGTCGCTAAATGCTTCATATGCTTTGATTCTTTTACTCTTGGCCACACTTCCGTAAATAGCACCTCCATCAATCTCCCCTTATTTATATCTGTTAAGTAAGTCATCTCTTTTCTGTCTGAATCTAATAGAATAGGCCAAGGGATACAGCGACATTTTAAGCATTTGGAATATATTGTCACATTTTCTTCACAATTTAAATGTACCCCTAGTAGTGTATATGAATTTAAATATTCCTATAACTTTCTAACATTAGATTTGCTGTTTTTAATTATTGTCAAGATAACAGGCAAAATAGAACATAATACAGCATTCCATGATTGCTAATTAGGATAAATATTAAGAGAGAGAGTGTGTGTGGTGCGTGTGTGTGTGTGTGTGTGCACGCATGCATGCTTGCAGGTAAGTATACATAGCAATGTGTCTAAAAAGTGCTAGCCACGAATTATGTTCACATTTCAACTCAAGCACAGAATAGCCATGTGAATAGAGGCAAGACCTTTCTTCTTTAAATAATATTGGCCGGGTATGGTGGCTTACGCCTGTAATCCCAGCAGTTTGGGATGCCGAGACTGCCGGATCAACAGAGGTCGGGAGTTTGAGACCAGCCTGACCAACATGGAGAAACCCCGTCTCTACTAAAAATAAAAAATTAGCCAGGCATGGTGGCGGGCGCCTGTAATCCCAGCTACTCGGGAGGCTGAGGCAGGAGAATGGCGTGAACCCAGGAGGCGGAGCTTGCAGTGAGCCGAGATCGCGCCACTGCACTCCAGCCTGGGCAACGAGAGCGAGACTCCGTCTCAAAAAAAAAGAAAAAAAAAAAAAAGCCTTTTTTTTTTTTTTTTTTGAGACAAAGTCTCGCTCTGTCCCCCAGGCTGGAGTGCAGCGGCGCGATCGATCTCGGCTCACTGCAAGCTCCGCCTCCTGGGTTCACGCCATTCTCCTGCCTCAGCCTCCGGAGTAGCTGGGACTACAGGCGCCCGCCACCGCGCCTGGCTAATTTTTTGTATTTTTAGTAGAGACAAGGTTTCACCGTGTTAGCCAGGCTGGTCTCGATCTCCTGACCTCGTGATCCGCCCGCCTTGGCCTCCCAAAATGCTGGGATTACAGGCGTGAAGTCTTATTTTTTAAATTATCTGTGAGCCAGAGATAATAGTAATATTTGGTCCCTTCTAACTTTAAGTTTGTGATTGTACATCCCCATCAGATACAAAAGGACAGAAAGAAATCCTGCATATTCTGATAATGCATGATTGAAGAAGCAAAATCCACTTTGTGTGTTGAGTCACTGAGTAATTTGTAAAGCTACTTTTTTTCTCCAAGAACTGGTGAATGCTGTGATGTACATTATTTCTTTGGTAATATACTTCATCAGAGAATTATTTTTACAATGCCAAATGAAGTAGACTTAACCTTTTACTGTGTTAAGGGTCAAATCCTGTTAACAAAGAAATCAGTCATGCTAATAAGAGAAATGGAATTCTATGTTTTTATCATTTCACATTTATATATTGCTTTTCTGAACTTTTTTGTTGGAAAACTCTCATTTTGATATCTTTACGTTATGAAGGGTTGGAAACATTACCTGAAATTAAGTGGTTCACTTCATCACATTATTTTTCTTAGTACAGAATGTTTCCTTGGATTTTAAAAAGGGGTCTTGTGGCATGATAGGAAAGAGAGTATTTCTTGGAAGACAAGGAGCATGAACCTCAGAAGTAGCTCATTTGTACAGGAGGTAATGGTGTGAGAGAGAGGTAATGCTAGGGCCTTTGAGAGGCTCAATGAAGTGGAAAAGGTAGATAGAGGGCTTACATATTTTCTGCAAATGTGTAGAATTTGCAATACTAAACCTGGGAAGAGCATGTAGTATGTGATGTGCTTGCTTTGCATATGGGCATGGTGTTACCGACTCACCTTCACCAGGTCAAGGGCTTTGCATTGTTGGGGTGATAGATTTACCCTGCTCAGTTTGCCTGTCCTCCATGAGCAGGAACATGAGTTTGTGAGACATCTGTGTAGGGTTAGGAGGGCAGCTGAAAGCTGTTGAACAGAAGTGAGCTAACAGGCTTGTGCACAAATTAAACTTGTAAGTGTAGTGCCATCAGTGCTCTGTGGAAATGCTGAGCAACCAGAGCGAGGTAGGAAGAGAAATCTTTAGGGAGGCGGAGGATTTGGAGGGATTAATGAATACCTCAGAGAATGGGAAAATCATGATATTTCTATACATTATTTGCAAGAAAAATAATGTATAGAAATATTATGACATATACCAAAAGCACATGTAGATGTTTAAACATACATTTACGCTTCTACATTTAGTAAACTAGATTTTAAAATGTTTTCCTAACACTTAACAGAGAGTCTGTCATTGACTCAAACTATCATTAAAACAACAGCAAAAGCCAAAGAAAGAGAGAAAAAGTGTAAGGGCTCTCCCACAAATGCCTCAGGTGACCAGAAGAGAAAGGCAGACGGCAGCCTCTGTGCTCAGTGGCAGCCGGCCAGCTTGGCCAGAATTGGCCGGAGATCCATGACCCTTTGGCTCTCTTGGGAGAGTGTAAAGTTCTGTCAGCTCATCCATTCGAATAATTAGCAAAAGATATTATTTCCCTGCTCCATCTGCTTGCATTTTTCCTAATAATTGGAACACTGAATAATGTTTCCAAGTCCTTCAGCTCTCTGCCACCACAACTGGGGAAAGACCCAAGACTGAGACAATAGTCAGGAAATTAAGTCTTCCCATGTGAGAGGCATCCATGAGAATATGAGATCACCACCGCAAGCAGAGGTACATCAGGGCTCAGAAGTCCAGGAGTTTTGTGAGTGTGAGGTGGCAGAGATCATTCCACTTTGAAGTTCACAGCCTGCAGCCTTCACCATAGACAGGTGTCTTGAACATACAAGGCTTAGGAACCATGATGCTTACAGGAAGGGGAAGTGTTAAATCTTGTACTCAATCACAAATCAACTTTAAGAAATTGCCTTATAATACTGGGTTGGGAAGCTTGATATATATATGTATATACATATATCGTATTATATATATGTATATATGTGCGTATATACACACACACACACACAAATACACACACGTATATATAAAATCCTACAGCGGTGGTACTCTTATGGATATTCCATTATGGATTTCCCCAGACAGGGACTATGACTCTGCCTTCCTCTGCATGGTACCTAGTGCAGGGCAATGCATGATGGCACACTCAATTAAGTCCAGTTGACTGGGTGACTGTAAGTGCTTCAAACCAGCGAAAAATAGAAAGAATCAAAGTGGAGTGTATGTTTGCATTTTGCTATTAATGTTAAATTACCTTTTCAACTCTAAGGCCCTTCTCACTTTGTTTCTTCACTTGGGACTGTGAGGGTGAATCTCAATAAAAGAAATGATTAACACTCATCTCAGTGTTCGTTCACTCCATGCGTTTTATTATCTACCACGTGCCAGTATCGGAGATGCCTGATTGACTCCATTTCTGCAAAGCAACCACTATAGTTTTAAGAAGTAAAGTGTTCTAATATTTGTCAATGTCGATATATTCAAAAGTAAGTTAGCAGCGATTAACATTTGTACTGATTTCTATGACATTTAGAAGATTTTATATTAATAAATTGTAAGAGGAAGTGGTTATTTAAAAACTAAATTCATTCTCCTGAAAATACATGTTTTTACTGAGAGTTCATTCTACCCAAGATACTTTTTTTTCTTCTTCAGATAGCATATAAGTTATAAAACTGGGACAAACACTTAGTTTTTCAGATATGTTGTCAAATGTTTTTTCTACTATTCTTTCTACTCCCTATCATGTAAGAATGGAGCTACTATTTACTTTTTTGAAAAGAACAATTTTCCTTTATAAAAAAGATTCTCTTAAACATTGCTTTCATGTTGCAATTAACATGTGAAAGGATTTAAAACAGAAACATCTCTCTATTGCAAGCAAAGTTTCAGTGTCTATAACAAGGAAATGAAATAAAGTACGATAAATGCATTTCAATGGTCAATTTAAATACTATAGTTACATAATGTTTAATAAATTTAACCTACTAATAGGAAAACATCATTTGTGGATTTCTATTTTATTTGAGTTTCAGCTCCTTCAAAAAGTAATATGGAAAACAATAAGTCAATTTCTACGTAGGATAAAGTGACCACATGGGCAAAGTTAAATTGTTATATATTTTATAAATATAACCTATTTGCTCATCAAGTCATCTGAATTTTTTCCTGAACATCTCTTTTTTTAAATAAAACTTCTCCCACTAAAGTAGGTACATTATTGAGATATATTATATGCCATTTTAAAATATGTTGTCTTTCTGTAGGTTTGATGTCACTGCTTTATGCTACCTTTATGCCCATTAGGAAGCAAAGTTGAACTCGATTTTAAAATGTAATGTCTTTACAAGAATCCATGTCTTCAACACTTCATTTTGTAGATCAGTATAATGAGGCTTTAAAGTTTAATAAACAGGCCAATATAACAGAACTAAATTTGGAATCTGGGCCTTGTGTATCCACATTATGTTATCATCCACTGAGATGCTGGTAGATGTTTAAAGCTAGCTCCCTAGAGTAAAAAGCCTTGAATTGTAACATATGTTGATTTTCATGCTGTAGATACCCTCACCAAGGCTGATTTAAACGTATTACCATGACATCACTGAATAAGGAGTTACAAAGGGATATACAGTAGTTCATCATTTTACATTATTTCCGTCATATTGTTGAAATAGACATACATAATCTCAAAAGCATAAATAATAAAACATTTAAAATTAGAAATTGGTGACTTTTTAATGTTAGTATATAATTGTTTTTTATAGAATTTATTTAATTGTAAAGGCATATAACCTTTAAGAAATTAAGAATGGCTGTGTTTAACAACTGACTGCTTCCTGACTATTTAACACTTGGGTCATACAGCTCTCATAAGCTGGTACAAGCTGATCCCATCACACCACTGGGTCACCAAAACTACTGATGTGTCATTTTGGGTGGCTGAAAATGTTTCCAATATGAATCTTCTCAATTTTCTTTTCATTGGCATGTGATGAAAAAAAAGAGAAAGAGAGAGAAGAGAGAAATAGTTTGATATCTATATCAAATTGGGCACAAGTGATATAAGCTGCAGGACTGAAAATGTTTAAATTTTAGGCCATTGCCTGAAGTTTCTGAAAAAATAGTCACTTACTCAGCATTTTTTTTAACCTATGAGCACACACACACACACACACACACACACACACACACACACACACACGCACGCACCATCTTATCTCTCCATTTTATGCTTCTTGGTCCTGGGTTTCCAGGCTTGCAAACTTGTTTAGTCTGTATGAACATTTGCTAGAATTCAGTCCCAGAGTTTTCATGTAAAAACCTTTGCTGATTAAGTATAACACTTATACTGCAGAATCATCACCATGTTACAATGTATAAGAGAACCTAATTATATTTAATGGTGAATCTGTACGCATATTGTCATTAATGTCGTTAATTACATATTAATGTCATTTCCTCCTATGAGCTACATTATTTTTCCAGATTCTATTTTGCTGTGATTGTTTTTTGCCAAGCAAAATTCATTGTATGGGTTGATGTTTGATTCATGTGGTTAAAAGTTTACACTAGGTAAACTGAGAATAGGGTAGGGGTTTTACACAAGGAGCATAAATGTACCAAAGCGGAAATGAAATTTGGAGTGATATAAAAGGTTCTTAGAAAAGTGGATTATGGCAACAACAGAAGCCATCAATTATTATTGGCCCTCAAATACAAGTATGGGGAAATACATTTTATTCAGCGGTGTAGGGGAAATGTTAGCATATAGGTGGATACTTCTGGGTAACTCACTCTCTGCCTAGTATGGAACAGCAGTGGGTCACTAATGAAACCGCCTTCATGAGTACATATCAGTGGCATGGGTGTTAGGCTTCTGAGGACAAAGCAGAGAAAACTTAGCCAGTCATCAGATATGGGGTTATGAAATTGACAAGCACCAAGCAGTCCTGAAAACTCTGGTAGCGTATGCAATAACCTTTAAAATTCTTTGCAATCCTCCAACTCTGATTTCACTGTATTATTGTTGGCATGATGATTACTATCTGGGGAGGTGATCCTGATGTGCCAGATGGTAAAATGAAACTCCGAGGCCATGACTAGCATCATGAAAGAGCAGATTGGCAGCTCTCCTGCAATCTGATAGGTGCTGGGAAGGCCTGAAATATCCTAAAACAGCTGCTCTTTGGTGTATCATCAAGCTTAAATTTACAATATTGGAGATTTATATTTTTGGGTCTTGAACGAGTACCTTGATGAAGAGGCAATATAGCAGGGGAAAAGATTTTAAAAAGGTAAAACTGCACTAGTTATTCCCAACTCATGGAAGACAGGAACTCTGTTTTCAAATCAAGACATTTAGATGAGAGAGCAACTCCACCTCACATGGATATTGGATAGAAACTAGATAAAAGTTCCAGCAGGGACGATGCATTTTCAGTGACCCCAAGATTAGACAAAGGTCATAAATAAAAGGAAGAATCAGCAGGAGAAGCTTTTACAAGGGTTGACCCTCTTTACAGGACAAGCTTTGATTAATCTGATCTAGCCAAATTTTATATTCATCTGTGTAAGGGATTTTTCACATTTTACAAACTATTCAGATTGTAAAATATATGTCAGAATAGTCTTGACCACAGTATCAGGCAACAGAAACAAACACACACACACTTTCATTTTATAAAATGAAATGTGTGGTTTACATTTATTCTAGAACAGATGAATAAAAAAGACGAAAAGTACAGTGAATATCCACTAGGTGGCGAGTGTGCTATGTCCCACTCACCTGCTTAAGGTGGAGCTGTTTCATCTTGTTCATCAAGATCTTATCAGATTTTGTTGTGGCCAAACAGATAGATGTCTGAAGTGGATTTTAGAAGCCAGATAATAGTTTCCAATTATTAGAGAGTAACTCGCCTTGTGAATTAGAAGCCTTCCCCAACCACTGAGCAACATGAAGGGCTATTTATTAGATCACTATGTGTTTTAATACCACTGGTCACCGCTGCCAGGCTTTTCATCTGAACTCTGCTCTGGTTATATTCCCAATATCATGCAATCTGGAGTTAAGAGCTCTGTCCTGGGCTACAGATTCTTTCCTGTAATTTTCCTCGTAATAACGACTGTTAATCAACCAAATGGACCTGAGATCCTCTCCCTTTGGCACTTTACAAGTCTTCGTTCTTTCTTTACAGCCCTCTTATGTGAAGTACCACATTTTAAGCACTACACACAGAGGATTAATAATTGTAGGCTTGGAAGATAAGATCAGCTGATAGGGACATGTACCTACTCAAAGTTACACTACAATGACACTTTTGCCTTAGAAAACTTCTCATTTATGAACCCTTTTTGGGGGCAGGAGTAATTTGCATTAATTTGATGTACCCATTAGACAAAATGTAATAGTGATCTTTACACTTTCTTAGGTGTATTCGCTTTCAATTTGACTTAGTTAACAAGAATTGCTTTCTTCCCAGCTTACAATGAACTCTAATCATTTGTCTTGTATCCTTTATTTTTCTTTACCTCTTTGATTTATCACATAACAATAGAAAAATTACAAAAGTAACATGATCCTTATGTAGTAATGCTGAAATATTTTTTTAAGAATGTCAATTATAATGTTAATCTTGAATCAAATTGTTTGTCATTCTCTTTCTAAAGTTCATTTAGACTTAGCACATTGTGATTTCTGATTATCATTTGTGCAAAATATTATAGAGAAGTCAAAATATAAAGAACACAGATCACTTGAAAAATCAGGGTAGAAAAATATCAATAATGTTATGTAAGTCAATTATTAAAGTAACATCTACATCAATTTCATAAACAATAAATAGACATAAAGGAGTCTCTTTACTCTTAAGTTAGTTCCCCTAAAAAGCCAACTCTAGCTTCTGAGCACTCTGAATTATCTGCTTTTCCTCTCTGGGCAATGTCCTTATTTGCTAAAAGCTCCCAATTCTGTCAAATTAGAAAGTAACTCACCTTAATTTATTAATCGCTTATACATTCCTATTTTTCCTTAACAGGATTTACTTAAGAATAAAGAAATGCCTTAGAAGGAATTTTTAATGCTAATGTCTTGGGCAATAATCAGAGTATTCTTCCACATGCCAGGATCATGAATGTTGATATGCCAGCCAGCAAAGACGTGTGCTCCTCTGAAGATTCTCCATAATGGGAGGCTTAGATCAGAGCTGTGGAGAAACAGCCCATTAGAATCCTGGCTCCACCACCAGTAGCAAAAACTAAAGAAAACAAAACGAAACAAAAACATTGTGCAAAACAAAACAACAACAAAATGCTACTTGTGCAAAAATAGTGGTTTTGCACAAGGTGCTAATATTTCTGAACCCCTGCTTCCTACTATGCTAATAGGCAGGTGTGGGAGGGGATAATAATACCTAATACATAGAGTTGACGGAAACTGAAATGAAACAGTACATTGACTTAACACTTTCCTTGATAAAGAGTAAGTTCTGAATCAATAGTTACATTATCAGTTTTTACTAATGTGATGAAACATGGATCAGATAAAAAGCAGGATATATCACCATTGTAATTTGATTTTATCCTAATTTCCAAGAAAAATAAATTTAAAATATTTAAAAAACGATATTAACTTAATCCCATTGCAGTGCACATAATTTTAGTGACTTTTTAAATTACAAACAGAAAAACTTGTTATCAAGCCATTCAATACTTGAAAACTGTACTTAAGATTATTTACACAAAATAATATTTTTCAGTATTTTCCTCTACTTTAGTCATTTAAAATTTCTCTAACTGGTGGGGCGCGGTGGCTCACGCCTGTAATCCCAGAACTTTGGGAGGCCGAGGTGGGGGATCATGAGGTCAGGAGATCGAGACCATCCTGGCTAACACGGTGAAACCCCATCTCTACTAAAAATACAAAAAATTAGCCAGGCGTGGTGGCGGGCGCCTGTAGTCCCAGCTACTCGGGAGGCTGAGGCAGGAGAATGGCGTGAACCCAGGAGGTGGAGCTTGCAGTGAGCTGAGATCGCACCGCTGCACTCCAGCCTGGGCGACAGAGAGAGACTCCGTCGCAAAACAAAAACAAAAACAAAACAAAACAAAATTCTCTAACTATATCAAAGCTTAATATGAAGAAAATATAATTTGAATATTAATTGAATATTTTAAAGAATGTATAAGATATAGTGGAAAAATATATTTGAAAAACAATGAAAAGAGTTGTTATCGTTGTATAAGATAAATTAACTTTTTAAAGTTTTAAAATAATTTGTAATAAAAAACCCTGAACATGTTATGAAAAATAGAATTTATGTTTTTATAATAGTTAATATTGCAGTAAAAACTCTATCATTTTACAAATAAGGATACATTGGAGAGTAACCCACATAACTAGCAACGTTCTGTAGACAAACATTCTACTCAGTCAACAAAGTCATTACTCAATTAATTATTTAAGTGCAGTAAGTGATTATAAATTGTATATTGCTTGAGATTCATGCAGATTTGCTTCTCAGGATCTAGCAACTGCCTACTTAATATATGGTACTTAAAATGAAACAAATTATTTTTCTTTCATTTTAAATACAAGTCTTTTTACAATAACTTTTTATATTTTAATAATATTTGATTTAAAAACACAAGTGGCAAACTATGAAAACATGCTTAAAACATGTAGTTCAAATATCCATAAAAATTTCACTTGGCTTATTGAACTTGTCCCTGAAAAATTTATGACTGTTACAAAGAAATGATATCTGGTACGCATGCTCAGAAGTAAACATTTAAAAAGTGTCAATTTGCATATCTGGGGGCTTCTGTATCTACTCTATTTTCTGAAATATATTTAAACATATGTTTATCTTTCTATTTCTTCATACAAATATGAATATCATAGGTCCTGTGATCTCCATGATAAATGATGTGCATCCCTGTAATCTAGATGTATGTACATCTGACCATAGCAAAAAATAAACCAAATATAATCCCAATATATATGTAAAAACTTCACCATTTATAAAAATGTCCCCAAACACACACATGGATCAGTACGAGGTGAATTTACATAGAATGATTCTTGGACAGGGATGCTTGGCACATAAGCAGAGAGAAGAAGGAGAGACCGGTATGATAGAGACGAGTGCATTAGAGACAGTGGGCCACAAAAGAAAAGCTTCCATCCATGATTTTATTTCCAGTCTTCCTGTGCCTAGCTATATTTCCCTTTCCCTTAGGTGACGAATCCGCAATAGATCCCATTAGCAATTTCTCTATTTTGAGCTTAGCTAACTTAAGTGGTTTTCTGCTTCAGGCAAGTTAGATGGGTTTCTTAATATTGTTTCTAAGCATGTAATATTTCTTAGGGATGTATTGTTGCATTAGATCACATAGTATCCCTAAATTAAACTATTTTGAAAGCATATTTTACTAAGTTCATAATATGTAAAACCCCTTTAAACATTATGCTGTAATATGACTGCAGTATTGAAAATAAAGACATTTTAATAGACATGAAAATTTTAATGGACATTAAAATTATATAGATACAACGCTACCTTTTACTCCCATTTAATTATGTACTACATAAAAATACAGTAGAAATCATTGCCAAAAATTTAATAAAAAATTGAATTTACCTGAAAATATCAGTTGTTTCTGATCTTTCTGTAGAATTATCTATCTAGTTATTTTGCATAATAAACATATATTACCTTGTATTAAATCCATATCAGATTTATGAAGGGTCGATGTTTAATTTAACTGCTTAAATGAAAGATATTACTGATTATAATCTATATTAAGATTTATATCCAAAATTTTGTTACAGATTAGAGATAAAAATCATAATTATTATTAAATAATATTTTTCCATGGCTCTTGGAGGAGATATAATTCATTTTCACTTAACGAATATAACCAATAGTTTTGGAATCAAAGTGAAGGGACTATTAAAAACAATAAAAGGAAAACTAAGTACCAAATACAATTTCAATACCTTATTGCTAGGAGCAATTGGTAGACCATGACTACTTAAAATACACAAAAATTCAGTAATAATATAAAATATTTTTTCCAATACTTACATTTCTCAAGCTAGGTTTACAAATTTGGAAAAGTGGCTTTATATTTTAAGACTGTTGGGGTAAAAATTTCAGCATTGATTTACCATGTTACTTACAGAGACAATTTTCCTCGAAATGGCTTTGGGAAAAATATGCTGCTACAAAAGCAAATCTAAAACAAATCAGAAAATATATTAATGTGAAATGGTGGAAATAGTGGCTTCAGCTCTGTGAAATTACTATTTTTGTAGGTAAAAAATGGCAAGGTCATATGGTTCAATGTAAAAAAAATGCATATATATGTATGATCTATTATGTAGACAAGATTTGGAAATAAATTTTAAAAGAATAAAAATAGTTATGTTTGAGGAGTAGAAGTATCCACAGTTTAGAGAACTTATTTCAAGTCATATTTTAACCTTATAGATTTTCATATTTTTTAAAAGTATAATTTTTTGATAATATTATTGATGACTCTTGTGCCACTCAATTTTTATTCTAAAAGCCTTTTTCTGCTGCTTAGTAATCTACTGTCAGTAAACAGACTAAAAGTCCACCCAGCAGAATAGATAGTAACTTTGTGTGCTCATATACAATACAATATCATGGCACTGTTATAGAATCTAAATTATTGTATAAAAACCGTAAACTTACAGGTATGTGATTTAGAGATCTGTTTTTCATCTAAATTTATTTGAACAGGTTCTATTTTTTTTTTAAGTCCTGGCAAACAAACTACTTTAGAAGCTTAAAACATTTCAGCAGTTTATTATTACAGAGAAGCTACATCTGGTATAAATGATTATTAGTGGTTGTCAGAAATGCATTATTAATTCACTGGATCGTGCTTTTCAATATTAATTACCCATGGCATGGTTTTTCAGATCCAGTCTCATTAATCACAGGCCCCAGGCCAGTATGCTAATTTGAAGTCTATGTAAGAATTAGTAAATATTTGTTCCTCGGTAATACAGTAATAAAACCATGAACTAGAGTATATCATGACTGAAGACTGTTGCTATAGAAGGTCAAATATTGGATAACTCTAGCCATCTGGGAAAGTCTTTATTTCTCCATAGAGTACATAACATCCCAGTGGTTTGTCCCAAATAATTGAGATTATTCATGTGAGTCACAAAGTAATCTGGGTGTTTTGGTTGTTTACATGTTCTCTTTCCTGCTTGCTTATCTGTTTTTAGAATCCAACAATGTTATTTCATTAATTCCCAATGAATGAAGAATTTGAAATATGAAGTATAATGAGCAATGTATGATCCAGGATCTTAGTTAAAGAAGAGTCTCTCTCTTAATTACAGGGAAATGTGCAGAGAACATTTCTTGCCCTGTACACTTCACTCTCATGTGTTAAAAATAACTGACACACTCCCTAGGAATTATTGCAGATTATATCTGAGGAACTGATTCTTGGGACATAGGCTTAAAGGACAGTTAGGTCGTTATTCTTCATGAATACCTTTCCAATATAAATTTCAAAAATTGTCTCTTAAGAACAGTTTTTCGTATCTACTGTGTCATATGCATTATCTACCCTTTGCACCCAAACCTCAGAGTTTTGGCCTGTTTGTGTTGCAGTCGTCCAGTTTGTCAAACTAAACTGCACTAGCGAATAGAAGCAGGCAAACGTCCTGTCAGTCCACGATGATTTACATTCAAATTAACCATGCTATAACTCTATGAAGTGATTCTGGTAGGGAAGATTTTAATTGAGGTATCTTTAGACGTGTGAGCCTATTCATGACCATCAAAAGTTGTATATCACACATTGACCTTGTGTTGCTCTTTTATGTTTGGTTGGTTCTGAGTTCAAATTTAATTCCTTCATCTATTAAATCTTCTTATTTTGTTAAACACTCATATCTCCCTTTTTGCTTTTGGTTTCCTTTCTCCATCTCCAAGTCCCACTTCTCCTGTTTTATTTGTGTAAATGGTCTCTGTTCTTTCTCTTTTTGTGTTTTAATGGACGCCTCATAAGGTGGTGCTTTCCTGGATGGCTTGCTAGTCCTCTGATTTCCTAACCCCTGAGCAGTTATTGAAAATTTATATTCAGATAATGGTTTTGACATTGAGCTTTCCCTTTTCAACTTCTAAATCTTAATTATACCAACTAATGCTAATTCAATGTGGCCAAGTCTTTTTGTCAAATTTCTTTATTCATACTTGGTCACATTTTTAATTCTTTTCACTTTCTGGATTATTCCTTTCTCTCCTATTATATGACGGTACCAATTTTCAGGTTTTGAACCAAATATCTTCTGTTATATCCTGGTTTTCGATGACTGGAAATGTTATTTAAACTTCATAAACCTCAATTCCTTCATCTGTAAAAATATGGGATATAATCGCAATCCCACAGTTTTCTTGTACCAAGTAAATGAATGAATATACACAATTCATGTTACATGGTGATTCAACAAAGTTTATTTCCTTCTCCTTCCTTATAGAGGGTATTGGCATGACTGGTATTTGACTAACACATTAATTGAAAGACAAAGTACTGGCTGTTACTGATGGGCTTCTTCACCAAAACATACATTTAGTAGAGACTCTAATTTTAGTTTAACTATTAATATCATCCTTAATAATAATTCCAGTTCTTCCTGTTAGAGATGACCCCTTCCATTAATCTAGATATGACCACAGCAAATTTCTTACTAGTCTATCTGTTTTCAGTTTTGCTCCGTTCCACTTATTTCTCCAAGTGGTAGCTAGACTATCTATACAAGTACATATAAAAATTTGAATCACACACACACACACACACACACACACACACACACACACACATGCATTTTTCTACCTTGCATACATCCTTAAAGTCTATGAAGCTACAAATGTACTTATATAATTATAAAATCTTTAGGTAGCATTTTTTAAAGAGTAACAAATTAAAAAAAAAAGACTGGAAAAAAATCCTTAAGAACAATTGATATTCATAATCTCCAGCAATTTCTTAAGAATCAGTAAGCAAAAGATGAACAACGCAATCGCTAAAGGGATGGAGAACATGAACACGCAGTTCATAGTGAAAGATACATCACAGCCAATGAAGCCCTCTCCTAAAGATGCTTCTATCCACAACTGAATAACATTTAAAATAAAAAGGAGGAGATTTTACATTTTGCCTATGAATTTAGCAAAGATTAAATGTTGCATAATACCTAGTATGTGGAGGGCATGGAAAATACCAGCATAACCCATAAAGTCAACATTCTTTAGCTTGCTTTCTAAGTCCCTCTGACCTGGATCCTTTGTGTCCCTCCAGCACTGATCCACTATCCTCTCCCATTCTCCAGCCTCAATGACCTTTCTGTAACTCGTCTCATAAAGTATATTATCATCAGTCTTCACACAGAATTTTTCTCCTAACAGAAACATCTTGCCTTTTTTCAATTCATTTAGTTAACAGATTTATTCTTTACTGTTCATTAATTTTAAATAGTTCACCTGGAAGAGTCTACGTCTTCCACAGTCTCTGCTAGATGACCCTGCTGTATCTTCACATAGCAATCCTTGTCTCACTTCTCACTTTTCATTGTGTTTGTCATTGCCTGTTTGGTCTTAGTCAGCCTGCTAGACCACAGGATTTCTTACTCACTTTCTTATCCCTACCATCTATAAAACTCACTGAAGTTTAGTGGATCTTCAATAAATAGGTAATGAATTTGTTAACTGTTAATATTTGAATATTTTTACAAATGCTACCTGATGATTCACAGATCAATAGACTTGTCACAAAGATCCCAATGTGATTGCATGAGTATTAGCTCATTCAGCACACTGTCTAATCCCTAGGCATTTTCTTTTCTATATTATTAATAGTCTATCCTAAAATAATAATATGGACTATTATAATCACCATATTTTATTGGTAAAATTAAGATACAAAAAGATTAATCCACATGACTACAAAGATGTGTAGTCATCAAGCGCTGGTTCTCTAAGTATCATTAAGAAACTGGAAGAATGATTTTCCAAGCCTATGAAGTGGGTTCTATGAGTCTTAAGGATAGGATGACTCTGTATTAAATAGGATTTTAATGGCTACAGGTAACAGAGGGAGAGAGGGAGGGAGGTAGGGAGAGAGAGCCAGTTGAGATATACTGGGTCTGTTATAAATGAAGAAGTTAGATTCAGGTGATCTTATACAGTAATGTAGAACTATTCAAGTGACAAAATTAACAGAATACAAATTTCTTAACATTAAAAAAAAAACCAGTGCACTTTAACCATTATAATTTTCCCACAAAATAATATAATTCCTTGGGACTTGGTTATTTTTCTAACATGAACGTGTTAAACTAGAAGCTTAGTGACATCTGTTGGAGTTGTTATGGAAGGATTCTTACCATAGATGAGGGGATCGAACTATAGTTTCTCAAATCTCTCAAATTCTGAGATTAATGAGTCCAGGGATATGTGAAGACACTGTAATCAGTTTGCTGTAATCACAAGTGTTATACAAGCAGAATTCCATTTCAGGCTCATAAAAGTTTTACATTCCATATAATGAAGATCTAGTTGATAAGATCACGCTGTGCCAAAAATGGACAAGTGACCTAAGGGGTATCTATTACACACCAAAGCTTCCTACATTCCTACAAAAACACAAATTGGAATAGGTGACTCCATATTATTGTTTATAACAGAAGGTGTTCATTACTATGAATCCATTTTACTGTCCACCTTAATCTTATTTTAAAACTTAACAGCAAATATACATATTTTCAAAACTTTTCCAGTTAGAAGTTAAAATTCTATAAAATAATCAGCAATAATAAACATCAAAAGTACTGGTGAAGCTAAAATTATTGCAAGATATAAGCAAAATAGTTCATTCTGTTTATTATTGTTATCATGCAATAATATGGGTGGATTTTTTCAACAAATTTGGAGACTCCATTTTAAGGAAGTCTTCTGTGAAATACAGGCTACATGACATATGCCAAATTCACTTTTGGGGACCCTGGAGTTAAAGTAGAGATACTGAAAATTGTCCCTTTACTTATCTATCAGGAGAAACATTCCAAGTGGTGTAGTAAAGCACTGCACAAAATAGCAATTGTTTTAAATATTAGCCCCCAGTAATAAACCATTAAGGCAGATGCTGTGAATTGCAAATGGTTTTGCCACTGAGGTGTTTCTCAGATGAAAGCATTTATACATCATGCACAGCTGAAGAGTGGTAGGGAGGGCAGGAATAGCTCTATAGGGATTTTTAAATCTAAAATTGGTTAATGATTTTAAACAAAGATTAGGAGACTATTTAGCACAAAATAAACTGAGTTCATTTTTCTATAAACTAGTTAACATCAAGAATCACATTGCTATGGCTAGAATTTGGTAATCTCCCTGACATTTATGTGCTTATTTCTTTACTATGTTGGCTATTTGGAAGTACATCTGTTTTACACTTCTGGAATAATTCCGTTCTTATAGAAGGGTTAGTTCCTTAGTCATCAAAATAAACTGACCCTGAAGTTTCGAAAAGTTTTGCCTGCAGAGTGTTAAACTCAAGTATTGGGAGAATCTCACTTATAGGAAGATATTATTTTAAAAACTTATTTTCATTACCAGAGTCACATATTGCGAGCAAGTATGTTATTTCTGGAAGTCACTGGAAAGCTTTGCATATGCAGAGTAAACATTTAATTTTAATATAATAACTAAATTTCCCATCAAATAAGTTATTTGTACTTAAAAGGCTCACATTTACACAGAGTATATAAGGGAAATGTCAGCCTAATGAGTTGCTTTTAAACATTTTTATTGAACATTTTTTGGATGCTTCACCTGTGTATACTTAGCTGATCATGGAAAGCAGGACTCCTAGGATATTTGTCCTGCCATCTCCCCTCTTGTCAGTATTCTCTCTCCTCTTCACTTTTCCTTTTGATTTCTGTAATAGCACAAACATTTAAATCCTCAAAGCAGATTCGTAGTAATCACAGCTATTACCCAGCACCAATCTTTACTAATAATACCGCAAACAAATACAGATGAAACAGCCTTTCCTAGAAGAGGCTGAAACTGTCAGACAACAACACGTCAAAATGTCCACTTTCTTTTTTCTTAGAACACCTTTTGTTTTCAGAATAACAGAATTTTTTGGAACAGATACATAAGAATATAGCTCACAAAAGATTCCACTTTAATTTGGGGGAAACATCTTTTTATACTCTGTTAATTGTACAACTCACTAGCTCCCAGTCTCCAGGCAGCCCTGCAGCATAAATTGACAATGGCAGGTTCATTTACAATATTGCAATCTGGGCTGTCTGGATACTGGATATATCCTGATATAACTATTTATTACATAAGGACTCCTTTTTTTTTTTTTTTTTTTTTTTTTTTTTGAGGCAGTGTCTCACTCTGTTGCCCAGGCTGGAGTGCAGTGGCGAGATCTCCGCTCACTACTGCAACCTCTGCCTCCTGGATTCAAGTGATTCTCCTGTGTCAGCCTCCTGAGTAGCTGGGATTACAGGCATGTGCCACCACACCCAGGTAATTTTTTTATTTTTAGTAGAGATAGGGTTTCGCCATGTTGGCCAGGCTGGTCTCAAACTCCAGACCTCAAGTGATCCACCCACCATGGCTTCCCAAAGTTCTGGGATGACAGGCATGAGCCACCACGTCCGGCCCTGGGACTCCTCTTTTCTATGTAAGTACAGTATCAGGTTAGTAAGAGATGCTGGGCCAAGGTTAATAGCATGTTTACAAATGAGAACTGGTTGAGGTTGCTCATTTCCTAAGCTTCCCCAGTAGGAAAGGAATGAGGCACAGGCCCTTTCCTTTCCAAGTTTCCACACAGTAAATTACCTTCTGTTGATCTATTTATTTTCCTATGAATCTCTATAAACACAGCAGCTGTATATCCTTTTTTGGAAGTGTTGTTCTTACAGGAGTTGATAAGGATTTTATTAAGTTTTTTGAAATATTATAGAACTGCATAGTCTTTAAAAAGAGATAGAATGTCCATGACAATGAGTTCTGGTTGAACCTAAGTCTGACTTTAAAATTCATAGTCTACTCGCTTTATCGCAGCAAGCAAATTATTTAAGTTTTCTCACAAGTGGCTACCTCATCTGATAAAAAAAAAAGAATAGTAATCATGAGACATAAGTTATACTAAACTGCTTGCAAAGCACAGCAAGTAGCAGGTGCTCAATGAACACTTATTTTCTTTGCCTTTTTGTGAAGTTAATAAGATCTCAGATGTTTCCTCTTTGATTAATGATGTTACACAATTGTCTTGTTATTATATTCACTGTTTAATATTTCTTTCTTATCTCCTTTCCAACTGTTATCTTTTTTCTCCATTACCCTAAATGTGAACACTTTTCCAAGTTACACTCTCGATTCATTTATTGTCTCATTCTACATTCCTTTTTAATACTTTTTAGAGTATGGCAATTTATTTATTTTGAAACTACACATGTAAGTTGAATTATCACTTTTATTTAGATAAAATGGAAACCACAACAAGCAAAAAAGAAATGTTTAAATTAAAAGAAATTCTGTTCATCAGTCATCTCTGACCATACTTTCAAGTTCCATTCTGAGTATGGGAGATTTATATTTTCAATTTTATTCAGTACTTTATCAATAGAAAAGTTTATACATTATAAAAAACAAGTCTAAATGCTTCTCATGGAATTTCACTGCTACATTCATTTTTTTGTTCAAAAATATTTGGGTACCTACTATAAGTCCGGTGTTACATGAGGTGCTAAGCAGAAGAAGCATGCTTTCTACTCTCAAAGAGCATATTGACTAAAGAGGCAGAAAGACATTGGTCAAAAGGTTACCCAAAATACAAACTGTAACTATAATAGATCATCCTATAATAGATCATTGCCTTTGCAATGACAGAATGTTAGAATTCATACAGCAAGTTATAGAGACCTAGTCACTTGTCACATTGAGGGAGTGAACTTAGAGTTGAGATCTGAATGGTGAGAACCATTTAATTATGCTATGCAGGTTAATGAGAAGAGAATGACCAGGACAACACTCCCAACTTCCTTTTTTTTTTTTGCATTTTACTATCCGCCTTGACCACTGCCAGCCAAACCCTCATCCTCCCTTATCTGGAAAGAAGAATTAGCCAGTTGTTGAAAAGGAGGAACAAGACGAAAAAATTAAGAGGGTCCCAAGGATTACAGAAGGCATGAATTTATTAATACCACCATTTACTGTCCAGGTAATTTTTATATCCTCGCCATTAGAGTCAAAACTTTCATGATTTTGCTCTACTCACCTCTGGTTTTGCATCTCTAACATCTTCAGCTGACTTCCAAACTTTCTCTATGCTCCCTCCACCTTCCCCATGTTTATCTAGAATGGGTTAAAATTCATCCACATCAACTCTTGCTAGTTTGCCACCACTTCGCTCTTGGTACAATATATCTTTTGGGAATAGAGGTCCAAGATCATCGAGCATATTTTATTCTTCTTAAAGGAAATATTCCATTCTATCCTTTGCGTATATATAGCAAGTATACAATTTAAAAACGACTGTTCAACATCTTTCTTTCTTCTTATTTTTTGAGATCTTCTTGTGAAATAAGGACCTCATTCATTATTCTTGGCGGAGGAGTTTCTCATAAGCTAATTCACATATATAGTACTTATAAAACAATTATGATTTATCCTTTATCTTCTAAGAGAAGATAAAGACATATTTGATTCTTTAAAGAACATCTATAGATCATACAGGCAGCATGTAAAAGTTAACCCTTGAAGAATCTGCTGCTCTGCACATTTGGTAGTGTTCACGGAAGTCACACACAACTAAGTTAACTGATTCTTAACTTAATTCTATTGACAATGAGCTTCCAAATAACGATATTTTTGGCTGGCACACTGAAGAAAGACTTAAAAACTTTTGAAGTCATTAGCAAGCCAACAGCTCAATCATTATTATAGTATAAATATGCCTCAGTGTCTGTAAATCTGTCCATAGATACTTCACTTTGCTTGGGTGCACCATGATGTTGTTGAAGGAGAACTGCTCACTGCAAAATCGCTCACATTTAGTTCTGAGACAAAGCCTGTATATTCCAAGAAGCAAACCTTATATTTTTTAGGAAGAATCCTAGGAATTAAGTGAAATTAACTGCCTTTTCCTCTTGTAAGGACAATATATATAATGTTATTTTTACACTTAACAAGTGCCTAATTTACTTAACCTTCTTCCTTTTATATCCAGCAATTTTCTCTTCTTGCTATTCCTTGTGACATAATCTGTTCCAATAGGTTCAATCATATCTTTTGTCCTCCAGATATGGAACCATGTGTGTCTTTAGCTATTGCGAAGACAACGTTTTCATGTTGATCAAAACAAGGCAACAAGCCCACAAGGATTTTCTCACAGCTTGACAACCACTCATCCAATTTCACCCTTTCATCAGGGTTCAGTTTAAGTCACAATACATCCTGATGCCTTATTATTTCCTCTACATCCCAATAATTTTTTCTTTCTACACCATTTACATTCCATTTGGTCTGTGCTAGTTTATATTATCACTGCTATCTTCCTTCAAATAAGGGAATATTAGTTGTGCTCTTGAACATTTCTCTACTTCTCACAGAGTCAGGCTTCTGATAAATGTCAAATTAAGATATTTAAGCATATTATTGCTTTGTATTCACTTTTCCCCTATTGCATTAGTGTGTAAAGGACGTTGACATTTCCTTCTCTTGATTAATCCTTCATACTTACAAGAGTATTTTATGAAAAGCTGGAGTAGAAATATGCATATGATGTTATTTAGGAGAATGAAAACACTAAATGCCCTTAATGTACACAAAGAGTAAGAAAGGATATTTTGTGGGCTCCATCTTTTAACAATTATTTTTTTTCAAATATAATGTCTTTTTCTCTTATTTACATATGCTTTGCAAACTTTGATTTGGTCTGTAAAAAATAACACCTAGCCATTTAACATTTTTTCTGATCATTTTATCATAGTGATAGAACTTTACATAATTAATAACCAAACACAAACATCCCTTACTATCCACAATAACAAAATGAATTTTTTTCTTTTATATAAGAAATAGAGACAGAAGCCTTTCATGTATACTGGCTTCAAATACTGTGTTGAAGATGACAGCAAATACAATGGGTCAAGAAACTGCTACAAACTTTGGAAAAAAGTAGATGAAGTTTTTTCCACTATTGTTTTTATTCTTTTGATAGACTTGTTTATCTAGGAAAATGAGAATAAGTTGATTAATGAATTAACAGGATAAAATATAAATATAAAAATTATAATGCTCCTTAGTTCAAAAATTAAAATTAACAAAATGAAGTAGAAAGAAAATTCCATTTCTAATGTTCACAAAATTATAACATAGTTTATCAGGATAAAAGAACACCATTACTTAATCTATAAAGGTTTATGAAAGCAAACAAATAAATGCCCATATGATATTTTTAAAAGTAAAATCCAAAACATGAAAATTTCAACTCTCCCAAATTTAATGTGTTAATTTAACATAATTCCAAGTAGGAAAGGCCATAATTCCAAGTAGGAAAAGCCATTTAGGAAAAGCAAAATTCCTCTGGAATTTGATACGATTATATTAAATATTGTATGGAAAATAAATGCCTAAGAATAGACAAGGAAAATTTGAAGACTAGAAATAGAGGTTGTCTAAGCAGATATTAGAACATGTTATAAAATACTGCAATCAAATCGATATTATCACGTTTGATTCGTTATTTGGACATGTAATTTATGATTATTTTAATGTAAGATATTGACAAATGCTTTTTTGGTGATATCTTTATGAGATTCTGGTGTCAGGATTATGCTGGCCAGCCCTACAATAATTTGATAGTTTTCCTCCTTACTCACTTTTTGAAACTGTATGTTCAAAGTTGTTATTATTTATTATTTATATGTTGATTAAGCTTCACCAGTAAAGTCATCTTGAACTGGAGTGTTTGGTTTGAAAAAGTTTTTGATAATTAATTCCATATTTTTTCATGAAATACGGTTCTCCAGATGTTTTCTGTCAGTGTAGGAGGCAGAACTCTAAGATGACTCTGAGATTCTCGCTCCCAAGTGTACAGTCCCTACTTCTTTAAGTGTGAGAAGGATATGTGAGTATAATTGGATATCGCTCCTGTTACTAAGTTATTTTATATGGCAGGAGTGAAATAATTTTACAGATACAATTAAGGCTTTTAATTATTTGACTTTATGATAGTCAAAAGGGAGACTTTCCTAGTGAAATGGGAGAGTTTCCTGATTCCCCTTGCAAGATGTTTGACAGCAGTGTGACTGGCCTGTTTAGTTGCCCCTAAGCTGAAACCACTAGGGCGAGCATGCAGACAGGCAGGTGCAGAGTCCATGGAGAGTGCTTTGGGCTGTCTGTCTTGCAGTAGTGTCTAGGGGTGTGTGCCCACAGCCCCAGCGTTACAAAGCTCTTTCAGCTTTGCAGTCCACAGGCAGCTTGAATGTTAATCAGCTCAATGGACCCTCTGTCTTATCGCAGGGGCAGAGGGCCAGTGTGACAGCCTTCAGTATCCTGACCTCTTGCCCAGTGTCCCAGAATCGGATCTCATGCAGGCTCAAAGGATGAGTGCAAGGTTTTATTGAGTGCTGGCTCTCAGTGAGATGGATGGGGATCCAGAAGGTGGGGGAGTGGGGGAGATAATCTTCTCCTGGAGTTCAGCTGTTCTTGGCCGAACTCCTCTCAACGTTCAGACTCCTCTTCCCTCCTTCTCTGCCATACCCCCCCGCCCCTCCTGGCTGCTGTCTGTCACTGGGTTCCTCTGCTCCACGTGACATTCAGCCACTTGTGTGTGTGCCTGCTAAGGTCTTGGGTTTATATGGGCACAGGAATGGGGGGAGTGGCGGGCCAGGGTGGTCTTGGAAAATGCAACATTCAGGCATAAAAAACAGGAGTGCCTGTTCTTACTTAGGTCCTTGGTCACAGGCCCTAGGGTGCAGCCCTCGCCAGGGACCCCAACCTTCTCTACCCAGCACTTCCCTGCCCCCTTCCCGTATTACTGGGCTGGGGGTGGGGTGCTGACGTAGTTACATAAACCCTTTAAAAGTGGGACTAGACGACAGAGAAGAAGAAAGCAGAGAGCTTCAACGCATCAGCAGAGCATGGGCACCTACCTGACCTAGGTAATCTGTACCTTGACTCCTGATCCGTGGAAATTGTGAAATAAAAGTATGTTGTTTTAAGCCAACAAATTTATGGTAATTTGTTACACATCAATAGAAAACAAATAAAATAAGTGTACCAAATTGTGTCTTTTAAAATTTGTGTCCATTTAATCTAAGATGTTGAAATTTTAGTCCTAAAATGTTCATATTATTATCCTATGACTCTCACGTATGTCATGATATTCTGATGCCTATTGCTGATATTTGTAACTGGTCTTTTCCCCTTTTTTCTCGCCTTAATTTTTTTTTTTTTTTCATAATCAGTTTTGCTAGGATTTTGTCAACTTTGTCTTTTCAAATGACCAAATTTGGCTTTGGAAGTTTTTTAAATATTTTGTTCATTTTTTGTTTTATTGATTTCTGTTTTTACCTTTTGTTGTAGGCTGAATGTGTGTGTTCCTCCAAAATGTGTATGTTGAAGTTCTAATGTCTTATGTGATGGTGTTTGGTGGTGAGGCCTTTGGCAGGTAATTAGGATTAGATGAGGCCATGAAGGTGGGGCTCTGTGATAGGATTTGTGTCCCTAGAGGAAGAGATTCCAGGGAGCTTGCCTTCTCCCTCTCTCTCATTTTCGCTCTCTGTGTTCTCATCCAACAAGGAAGACAGTGTCAGCACACAACAAAATGGTGGCTACCTACAAGCCACTAAGCAGCCTTCACCAGGAACCAAATTGGCTGGCACCTTGATGGGGGACTTCCAGGCTCCAGAGCTGTGAGAAATAAATTTCTGTTGTTTAAGCCACGCAGTCTACTGTATTTTATTATGGCAGTCCAAGCTGACTAATATACCTTTATTATTTTCTTCCTTCAGCTAATTTTGAGTTCAATATTCTCTTCTTTTTCAACCTCCATGAGGCTGAAACTTGTATCATTCATTTTGAATCCCTCTTCATTGACTTCAAATAATAATTTTAAAATCTATGCATGATGAATAGAATAATATCCAGAAATAGACTCACATATATTTGATTTACTGATTTTTGTCAAATGTGTCACAACTATTCAATAGGAAATTTGCAATTAATGGAAGAGGAACAAATAAATAAATGAATGAAGAAAATGAACTAACTTCTACCTCATGATTCACATAAAAACACAGAAAATAAAATAAGAGATTCTTGAACATAAAATAAAATCTATATGATCCTGAAGGAGGCAAAGCTTTCTTATGTAAGACCATGAAAACACTAATTATACAAAGAAAGAGGAAAAAAATGTGAATTTTACCACAATTTAAAACTTCTGCTCACTGGAATTCACAACTAGATAAAATAAATAGGAAAGCCTCAGGCTGGGAGACTATAGTACATTACATGTAATTGACAAAAGATTTGTTTACAAAATACATAAAGAATTCCTAAAAATCATTAATAAAAAGCCAGAAACCTGTCTTTCAAAAGTGGTCACAAGTGTGGAGAGTCATCTCATATAAAAGAATATTAAAATATCTATAAAAATGTTAAAAATGTATAATATATTTTTTAATTAGAGAGATGCAAATTAAAACCATGAGACCATTTCATAACCAATGAGATGAACAAAATTAAAGGCAAATAAGACCACACGTTGACAAGGAAGTAGAGTAACTGGAACTTTTATATAATGCTGGTGGGAGTTAAAATGGATCAACTACATAAAAAACAATTTCCAGGCCGGGCGCAGTGGCTCACGCCTGTAATCCCGGCACTTTGGGAGGCCAAGGCGGGCGGATCACGAGGTCAGGAAATCGACACCATCCTGGTTAACAAGGTGAAACCCCATCTCTACTAAAAATACAAAAATTTAGCCGGGCGTGGTGGCGGGCACCTGTAGTCCCAGCTACTCGGGAGGCTGAGGCAGGAGAATGGCGTGAACCTGGGAGGCGGAGCTTGCAGTGAGCCGAGACAGCACCACTGTGCTCCAGCCTGGGCGACAGAGCAAGACTCCATCTCAAAAAAATAAAAAAAGAAAAACAATTTCCAGTTTTCTTATAAAGTTAAATATATACACTTATATTATAATACAATTATACCACTAGGTATTTATCCCAAAGAAATAAAATTACAAATACATAAAAATACTTTTGTAAGATATATTTATAACAAATTTATTTACGACAGCTCTAAACTGACAACGACTCAAATATCTATCAGTTGGACAATAGATAAACAAATGTAGTATACTCAAACAATTGAATTCTACCCGGGAGTAAAAATACCTGTTGATTTATATAACAACATGACTGAATCTCAAAACACATTAAGCAAACAAATCTAATATCAAAAATTACATACTCTACTATGCCTTTTGTGTGTAGTTTTAGTAAAAGCAAAACTAACATGGAAAAAAATCAGAACAGTGTTTGTGGATGTGTTCATGCATGTGCCTGTGTGTGTTTGTATGTGTTTGCCTAGAAATGGGAACAAGGAAAGTTCTGAAGTGATAGAAACATCCTATGGTATATGTGGAGTCAATAGGGTCTTGATGCAAACAGAGATTTGAAATGTGTGCGTGTCGTGGTATGTAATTTTTTTTTGTTTTATTTGCATGTGGATATTTCTTGTTTGCCTTTAGGCTTGGTCTTGCCAAAGAAAACGGATACTAAGGAGAAGGAAATGGAAGTAAGTAATTTCCACGAATTCCACAAATGGAGGAATCACAGTACGTTGCAATTATCTGAAAAGTTTCATGAAAAAAGAAACTCTCGAAAAGGCACATCAAAGAAGGGTAAGGGCATTGAAGAGAAGAGTACACACTGATAACAACGCAAGCAAGGTGTGTTCATAGAACACCGCGAAGCATTTTGATGAAAGACTCTATAGTAACACCAAGGTTAGAGACAGTATTTAGACTTCAAAATGTGAAACTAAGGAATTTTAATTTATCCTCTGCCTCATTTACCAAAGGAATGTTTTCCTCTCCTGCTATTGTCTTATTTCTTACCGGAAGCCTCATATTATTAAAGGTTCATTACAGGTGAATGAATAGTTTTAAAGAGAAATATCAGATCTTATGCAATTCAATGTTCAGGTAATTCATTCATAGACATTAGGAGCAGTCTCTATCTTTTTCTCTCTGCATATTGCTTTGATTTTTTTATTTTGTATTAGTAAATGACAGACTGAGGGTATGAAAGCCTAAAAGATTTGAAACACCTTTCCTCATCCATTATATAAACTACAATGCTACCAACTGACTTACACACTTATACTTCATAAAATTTGTTCTTCATTGTAGCATTTCATAATATGACTTGTTACCCCATGTTGTGAGATACTTAGATGAATGATGTATTTCACAATATTGGAGGAAAAACATGAAATTTATAAACCATTCAAGTGTTAACTGTTCTGAGTTCCAATTTTATTCATTCCTATTCATATTTGATTTCTTTTTTTGTCAACAAAAGAGCACAGCTTACTGATAAAAATATACTTTTGAAAGCTTATTTTAAAAGTTGTAAAGATAGCTTTGGTAAGAAATAGTACTAAACTAATTTAAAGCATTACATTTTATTAAAATTTTAAGCAAATGGAAAGTAAGGAAAACTGACTTTAGAAATTTTAAGTCTAAATTGTTTTAAAATGTTTGCACAAATAAATATGCAGGAGAAACAGCATTTATACAAATTTTTATACCTGTAGTGGGTTCGATAAACACTTAATAAACCCCTGTATAATTCTCCACATGTATATTGTTGGGTATTTTAGAATATAAATTTTTTAATAATCCAGGTTTATTTTTCCATTTTAATAATATTGTTTAAAATTATCATTAATGTTTCCTGGTAGAAAGGATTTAGTGGGCTTTGGTATTTCTGCAATTTAAATATTTTTAAAAGTTAGTACTTTAATGACAAATTGTTTTACAATAAGAATAGCTAAATTTTATTGTGTGCTTATCATGCACTGTTCAAAAGAAAGGACTGTAAAATATGATAGCTATTAAGATTATGATATGCCAACCACTGTGATACACCTTCCAGAAATATTAGCTCAGGTAATTCTTTAATTCTCTTAGACAGGTATTAAAAGCCCCATTTTACAGATGTGAAGAAGAAAGATTAAGTGACTTGCCAAATTGTCTGCACTCAGGAATAATCGGAAACCAAATCTGCACTCAAATCTTTCGACTCTTTGGGTCCATCCTCTGTCCCCCACGCAGCTCTGGCTCCAAAGGCGTTTCTTTGTCTGTGTGTGGTTTTTGTTATTACTACAAACGCTTTTAAACCAGTGATTGTAATTCATTGTTACCTTCTTGCTATAGTGTACTCTCTGCCTCTTCACTTCATTGACTAATTCTATGTTGCTCATACCCTTAATCTTTTGTTATTTGTCGGGTCATTTTTTTCCCTGCATTCATTCTATTTGTAACAGTATGGTGGCTTCAAATGTATATAATATATAACCTTTCTCTGTATTATAAGGTATATGGGGGATTATTCTATAAAGGGCATGGGTATTTTAGTGGATTCTACACTATTTTGTTTAACTTTGGGTCTCTTATTTACTCTTTATATGAGCAAATACAACTCAAAACATAGTATCTTCGACAACTTTAATAAACTAGTGGGAACAGATGACTCTTCCTATAGTACAAAAACAATACTTCCTCTGAATACTGTTGGGAATTGCTTGTTCACATCTGATGAATTACCTCTTCACCCGTGTTTCACGATGAGAGAAATAATTGATGGAGGCTGCCTCTGTCTCCATCCTTATCCTCATACTGGCCTCCCTCAAACTTATTCTGCATTGTGGGGGCAGCTTTGCAACTAGTTTTGGTAAAGTTATCTGTGAACATATATATTTTTTCATTTTCTCTCTTAGTTGCTTAGTTGTTTTTGTTTGGTTTTTAATGAGGAGACTTGTAGAGGTTCCACAGCTTTGTATCATGGTCTTGTCCTGACCAGAAATTTGTCCTTTGAATATTGTTGTCAATTTCCTTTCTTTTGGAAGGGTTGTGTGGGCTTTAAATTAACAAAGGAAAATCAACTTTGGCTTTACAGAAATTTCAAATAATTAATAAGAGACAATTATTCACTTTTTAATTGACATATAATTTATCTAAAATGACTAGTCACCAATTTATTAATTAAAAAATGAAATAGCCGTAGTGACATAATTATAAAAGCATATTTGCCTATAGTGAAAATGAAAATAGATATGGTTGAGAGTATCAAGATCTTAAACTAATGCTATTGTCAGGTCCAGGAATCTATTCAGAAAGAAGCATTAGGAATGGAGAGGGTAATTTATGCACCAAATTATTTCTCATAATATTATTTATAAAAACAAACACTCAGAAACACAGTGGAAGCTGAAAATAAAGAAATGGTTAAGTAAATAGTATAATAACAGATGTCTTTCTCCTTTCGGCTAAAGCTGAGATTCATATAAGTTTGTGGAAGTTCCTGGGGAAAATTAAATAATATTTATAATTATACTTTTACTATATTTATAATAAGTTTTGAGATGTATAGAGAAGTTCCTAATAGACTGGGTAGAGAAAAGATTTGTAAAAAGAAGCCCAGAGCAAAAATGATTTGTTGTAAAGTGAAGAAAAAAATTATAGTAAGGCAAAGATCTTGCTATTACAAATCACAGAGCAGAACAAGGCCTGAGAGTCAAATGGGAGTAGTGGTTCCAAATATAGAACAGTGGCTCTTGAACTTGACTGAGACAGACACCCTGGCGGCAAGAAGCTCTCTTGAGGAAATGCTGCCGGATCATTTCTGAGCCAGCTAGATGAGTGGAAATCGCTCACCATGGGTAACCTGAATATATACATTTTTTAAACAAATTTGATTAAATAGTCACATACATACCTATTATGCTTAGCTTAAATCTTGTTATATACATATTTTAAAATATTATATTATGTAATATATTACTGTAAAAAGATTGTTTTCTACTGTCACATGTAAGAGTTAATTTTATTCAGACTCTTTAAATTTTGACATCAGTATTTTTATCATCATTGCAGCCAATTTTCAAGTCACCTGTCATGGTTTTCAATAGCACATTATCTCCAATTTTCATCCAAATTGTTTTAAGAACTGAACTTCTTAAATCTGTGTATGATACTGTTTCTGCAAATTCTATCCTAATTTTATCCTATTTTCCTGAGCTACAGGCAATCATTTGCATTATACCATATTTTAATTTTTTCAAGAATCTTGTCAATATATATTCCTGATTTATACGAAGTGATTAATTGTAAAACCTTCATGTTTATAATAATATACAGTGCTTATAAGTAAAAGCTTAAAAAACCAGAAAAAGATACCAAATATTTTTGATACCAAAAAACCAAAATATTAAATGTTAAATTTCTTTACCACCTTTTAACCTATGTTATGACTGACAGCAAAGGAGTTAACATAACCCTGAGAAAGAAAACATATATATATATATGTTTTATGTGATATATAAGATACATATATAAAATATAAATCATATATTATATATATAAAAATACTGATGTCAAAATTTAAAGAGTCTGAATAAAATTAACTCTTACATGTGACAGTAGAAAACATATATGATATATATTTCTCTCTCTATATATATATATTTGTCTATATATTTCTATCAGTTCAAAAGTGCACTCAAATTGCACTCAAAAGTGAATGCAGTTTTTCTGATTCCATTTTCTTTCTGTTTGTTTTTCCTTGTTTCTTTTTTGTTTGTTTCTTTTTGAGACCAAGTCTTACTCTGTCACCCAGGCTGGAGTGGAGTGCAGTGGCACAATCTCAGCTCACTGCAACCTCTGCCTCCTGGGTTCAAGCGATCCTCCTGCTTCAGCCTCCCGAGCAGCTGGGGCCACAGGTGTGCCACCACGCCCGGCTAATTTTTGTATTTTCAGTAGAGATGGGGTTTCACCATGTCAGTCAGGCTGGTCTCGAACTCCTGACCTCTGGTGATCTGCCTGCCTCGGCCTCCCAAAGTGCTGGGATTAAAGGCATGAGCCATCATGCCCAGCCTGGTTCCATTTTCTCATGGTGATTGAAAATAATTAATCTGCTAAACACCAAATTCCAAAGTGCATTTTGTGCTATGCTAGTGAAGACATTAAATTGAGCCAAGCAGCTGTGACAGGGGCTACCACTTGGTTGAGCTTGTGGTGGTTCACCACCATCTATTATATTTCCACCTCAGTTTTTCAGAGCCAGACTGGAGAAACAAATGCAGATAAAATTGGGATCACAGCTTCTGCATTTTTATGACTTTCAGGATGGCACTCATATCTGCCATCTTACCAAAGATTCAGTATCAATTCTGATTCTGAGAAGGATACAATATCAGGGTTTTCCACTTGACCTGTATACTATTATAGATCTTACTCCACAGTTCAGGAAATCAATGTCAGGATTCTGCCAGATTCATGCATAACTTGCTTTCTCTAGGTCCTCAATCCGACCAGGGGACCATGAACACATAGGACTGGATGCAGTGATAACTTCTTGTACCAACTGTTTAAATTTGGGTTGCTCCAGAAATAAATCTTGAGATGAAGATTCAAGGGCAAGTGTTCATTTGAGATGTGAAGGAGCCATTATTAGGAGACTGCAAAGTCTCCTATATAGAAAGTTTCCTATATAGAAAAAGAAGATAATTTGGCCAGTAAAGGAGGGTTGTCCCCTATGGACAGTTGGAGATTTAATTCCACTAGGGAACTTTGGAAGGTGAAGGAGGTGAGGATGTATACACCAACTTTTTTTTTTTTTTTTTTTAAACAGAGTCTCACTCTGTCGCCAAGGCTGGAGTGCAATGGCGCGATCTCGGCTCACTGCAACCTCCACCTCCCGGGTTCAAGCAATTCTCTGCCTCAGCCTTCTGAGTAGCTGGGATTACAAGCACCCACCACCAAGCCTGGGTAATTTTTGTATTTAGAGTAGAGACGGGGCTTCACCATCTTGGCCAGGCTGGTCTTGAACTCCTGACACTGTGATCCACCTGCCTCAGCCTCCCAAAGTGCTGGGATTACAGGTGTGAGCCACTGCGCCCGGCCTACACCAACTCTTAATTAAGACTCACTGGTTCAGTGCTCTATGTGGGTGAAGGGGTGGTGGCATTAATTTTCCAGCGTCCATTCCTTTTCACAAACAGAAATGAGGCTCCAGTAGCTAGAAGAAGCCCTCTGTCACAGAAATGTTGGCACTCGCAATGCGTAAGCTGGAATGTGCCAAAGTTATGAGTGAAGAGAGATGGATATGGCAAAATTAGAGTATCTTTTACACTCTGCATTGCATAAACAATGCCTAATGCCCTTATGCTGTTCATCAACTTCTCCTTTTCCATTAGATTTTGGGCATGACTTCATTGTTTCTGTTCAGCCACTGTTATTATGGCTGTTACATCTGATATCAGATATATTCAAGCAAAGTAGATGCTGAAATGGGTCCTCTCTTTTTAAATATTTTGCTCGAAGAGGAGTCTATCAAGAATAGGAAGATTAAAAATATTTGCCACTATCAGGTTTTTATTCTTGCTATTTTATTATTAAGTTGCTGTTTACTAAGAAAAAAATAAAACTTGCTCTTCTTTCCTTATCTTTCAAGATACAGATTATTATAATATTCTGTAAAAAGTTGCCTACATATTTACCAAATAAATAAACCCTATGAGTCCAAACAAACTTTGAGAGATGTCAGCATATGATTTGAAGTTTCTGGTAAAATGCCTATGATGACTGTCACAATGCATGGGGAGAGAACTTGAGGTCTTCCAATGTGTGCAGTCTTTTTAGAGTTGGATTACAAAGAAGCACATAAATCCTAATTGGTTCAGGTAGTAGTCATTCTTGTGTAGTGGATGAATAAGTAGTTATTAGAGACTAGATCAGTTTATCAATCAGGGCTGTATTTTAAGTACAAAGTGGTACCTCCATAAATGACAACATAGGATAAGAGAATAGGAGAAATAGAAATTTTCTGCTGTTATATTGACACCAGGGTGATGGATGTTTTAAATCAAAGTGAATAGAACATGTATTTTAAGGTATGGTTTTTACTGTATAACTGACCAACTTATCATACACTTTATGATGATTATGGATGATTTGTTATTGTGAAACACTGTAATTCTAATACTGCTGAAGTAATACTGTTAAAAGAATAGACCATGATTGATATTTAGGGCAAATAATCAGTCAGAATGCAGCTGGGAAATGAAACCACTTTAACTGAAACAGATAGAAATGGCTATAAGGAATTTTTTTTTTAGTTTCTTCTTTATTTTATTTTATTATTATACTTTAAGTTTTAGGGTACATGTGCACAAAGTGCAGGTTTGTTACATATGTATACATGTGCCATGTTGGTGTGCTGCACCCATTAACTCATCATTTAGCATTAGGTATATCTCCTAATGTTACCCCTCCCCCCTCCCCCCACCCCACAACAATGAACTCAAACAAATTTACAAGAAAAAAACAAACAACCCCATCAAAAAGTGGGCGAAGGATATGAACAGACACTTCTCAAAAGAAGACATTTAAGCAGCCAAAAAACACATGAAAAAATGCTCATCATCACTGGCCATCAGAGAAATGCAAATCAAAACCACAATGAGATACCATCTCACACCAGTTAAAATGGTGATCATTAAAAAGTCAGGAAACAACAGGTGCTGGAGAGGATGTGGAGAAATAGGAACACTTTTACACTATTGGTGGGACTGTAAACTAGTTCAACCATTGTGGAAGTCAGTGTGGCGATTCCTCAGGGATCTAGAACTATAAATACCATTTGACTCAGCCATCCCATTACTGGGTATATACCCAAAGGATTATAAATCATGCTGCTATAAAGACACATGCACACGTATGTTTATTGTGGCACTATTCACAACAGCAAAGGAATTGTTATATAGGTGATGGATACATAGAAAATCCAAACAGCGGATAGTAAGACAACCTAGAATTTAGCAACAGCAGGAAGCTTCAAATCCCCTAAACTGAAAGAAACAAAGGAAGAATTGGTAGCACTAGAGATCAGGGTGAGAGATTCCGCCTGAAATTCTGGTGGGCTTGTCTGGCTGGAGCTGGTGCTAAGGAGGAGATGCAGCCACTGCTAGAGACACCAGCCAAGGCAAACAGCCAGGGGAGAGATTACTGTGATTCTCCATCTCTTCCTCCTCCCAACCTCCCACCCTTCCATCTTCCACTGGGGCCTGCCATTGAACAAACTATGAGGAAGCCAGCTGACATGGACTCCTGTAAAATGTGGTCTAGAAAGCAGAGGAGAAGAAAAAGTGGGGCAAAAAGTAGAACTCAAAGCAAAGGACTGACATGAGAAAGGCATAAATTCCAGTGGAAAAAAAGAACTCTAGTGTTTAATACAACATATGGTTTAAGGGTTGTCTGTATGGCAATAATAAGAGAAGATGTAGCTTATGGGTTGGCTTCCTTCACTGAGAAATATGCCGTTATGTCCAAAATGGAAGGATTTTGTTATTCTTTCTATCTTATGACACTGAGTGTGTAAGGAGAGATTAGCATGGACTGCGAAGAAAGCTGCGATTGTACTGAAAAGCCCATGGGACACGGCCGATAACAAGAGACCAGATCCCTTTTGTTTTACTGGGTTGCAATTTGGAACAAATAGCCATGCCCTGATGAAGTCTTGTCAACCAAATTGTCTACACTTGATATCCACTCAGGCCTGCCTTTATAAAAGCATAGGACAGTGTGAAATTCAAGATTCCTATACCAGAAATGCTCTTTATTTCTGTATCAAGTGAGTAGAAATAGAAAGAGTTAGAGATGAGATTTTGTTTTATGGGAATAATAGCAATATAATAACAGAGAAAATAGAATGCAAGAAAAAAATTATCTGTCCCTCAATATCACAGTTTCTAGCATCAGAATCTCACATTTCACAGTTACAATGATCAAAAACATTTTACCAATGGTAAGGTACACATCAGAATGAGAAAGTTACTTAGAAACTCAAAATGCATTTTTACTGGTGTTTTGAAATAGCATCATATTATAAACTTTAAAATTACTAGAAATTTTGGTAAATTGTATTATTGTTCTCCAAAATTTGCTTCCTCTCCCTGTAGAAGGATTATACTTATGGAGTCTGCTGATGGAAGGCTTGGCCATGTAGTTTTCTTTGGCTAATCAATGTGAGTGGTGGCATTGTATGCCACTTGTAAGCACAGGATTTAAGAGATAACTTGTGGGTCTACCATTGGTCTTCTCCCTCTGCCCTGAGATTGTCATATCACACACAAAAAGGTGCAGTTGATTTGTGAAAGACACTTGTGATTGCGAGAAAAAACAACTGTGGTTGTAATAAACCACTAAAATTTTAGGGTTGCTGGTTATTGCAGCAGAACTGGATAAAACCTGGAATTACAATGCAACTTTGTTAGAGCATTTTTCTACTGCCACCAATGGAAAAATGTTGGTAAGCCATTTCCATCCAGTTAGCCTCCTGTCTACCTTTAAGATGTGGTTTAAGTTACATTTCTTCAGGTAGCCTTTTCTTGATCCTTGCCACCACATTAGGCTAGCTTTCTGTTTTATCTTCTATAGAAATACGTATTTTTATTTAAAGTAACTACTATTTTTTGGCAAGTTTTCATTGACTGGTGTGATTAGGTTTAGGCTTTAAAATATTGGATCCATATGTGGTTTGCCTAACACTGTGACCCTAGCATGTAGCAGGTGCACAGTAAAAATATTATTGAAGAAACAAATACATGACTTCTATGACATTTTATGTTGCACTTCTCAAATCCTAGTAGATGTCTTAGTTTATTCCAATGATGTTTTCACTATTCCTGAAAAACTGCAGTTTCAGACAGTAATTTCATCATGATAGTCTAATCATTTACTAAAACCTCCACATCTACTCTCTTTTTTATATGCTCCCATTGTAAGTATGCATGTACTTTGAGCAACAAAAGTCACAAGACGTAATGGTCTCTCTTTCCCACAAGACAGTTATTATATCCCCCATATGATCTTTAAAGCATTTAAAAATATCTTTAGTTGTGCTTACTATGTTTTTATATTATCCTTCCTCAAATCTTTATTTTTTAATATACAAATGTCTTTTTGCCAGAGCAAATGTCTTACAAAGGTTAAGAATGTGTATTTTTGAGATTACAAACAATTCTAGAACTATTATTTTAAAAAATGCAAGATCCTGCTATGTGCACTGCTATAATGCTAATGAATGTTGTATAATGTTTGATGTGCACTATGTCATTTCAGCTGGATGAAAGAACCACAGAGTTTCATGTATTTATTTAATTTAGAAAGTGTCAGCTGTCTGGAGGCCTCTAAATTCCAATCTTATGCCATTTTGCCTTTACTGCTGCCTCAAATTTTCATTTCTTAGGAATGATCTATATTACAGACTGCTAAATTTATGTTCAGAATAATTAGCAGTTCGTGTCAAAGAAAATCTCTTCAATCACAAGTTGAGTGACATTAAAATAATATTAAAATAGATTATGTCTTGAGATGCTTCAACTGTTTGTGTAAATATAATATTTATTGGAATTTATAGGTCGGTAGACAAAATTTCCAGGATTTTATTGTCTTTCTTGTCTGGAGGAAGTGGGAGTGGAGAATGAGAACGAGTTCTATGAATAGCTTATATTTAGGTAATAGTCAATTAATTAAAAGCTCAATAGCATTACTCACAAAAGTACCCATCTTCACTGTCTTTCTCCATTAGTACTGCTACGTTTAACTATCTCCATTAATCATAACTATTAATGATACATTAAAGTACAACGTTTCCTACCCAACTGGCAAAACAGGAGATGAAAGTCACAAAATATAAGCTATTTTACTTTACTTTCTCACAAGGGATAAGAGATGACATTAATTAAATCTAAATTGAGATTTATGTTCCTTATAGTGTCAACATTTTAATTTCAATATATACCTTAAAAGCATGTATTTTAAAATACAAAATCCATTCATTTCTGTATGACAGCAATAAACTATCAAAATTTAAAAAGTTTCTTAAGTTAATGCCATTTGCATTAACATCAAAAAAATGTATAAACTTAGGTATAAACCTGACAAAATATGTGTAGGAGATATGCTGAAATCTGCAAACTTTTGAGGAAGGAGGTCAAGAAACACTGTCAAAAATAGCTATATCCATTTATAGATGGAAAAACTCAGTATTGTTAAGATGCCAGTTCTCAGATTTAATCTACAATTTCCATGCAAACCCCAGTCTAATTCTCAGTGAGCTATATTGTCAGGTGCACTGCTTATAGTTCATCCTATACAGTAGGTTCAGGTATTCACTACTAATTCTTTTCCTGTCTTTACAAAGTCTCAAGTTAAGGAGATAATATCATTGCTATTAGATGAAACATCTAACCCTGGTCTGGATCTATCTGATTCCTGGCAACCTTTCTGTGGCCCTCAAATCTGGTAGAATCTAAAGGAGCAGATGATACTGTTATTTGAGTTTCATTGACATAATTACAGATACTATTTGTTATGAGAGTGCTTCCTTCTTTCTGAATAGTCTATTAGACATTTTAAAATACTATTTTAGAATCATTTGGAATAAATTGAAAGAAAATAAAAAATAAACCACTGAATGAAGCCAAAATTAGTGGTAAAGAGAAATTTAAGTATATTGTAAGGGCTATGAAAGGAAAATTAGATCATCATTATACAGTTTTGTCTTATACAAATATATTCAGTTTCCTAAGAAAAGGAAAATTGATAAAGAATATGAATTTCTAGTCATCCAATATGACATATAAGCATTTTCAGCAAGTTCTTTGTCAGTAAAATATAATACTAAAAGTTTTTCTATACATGAGCTTACCATTTTAAGGGACATTCATATGTGCCAAAAGTTAAAGCAATTTGAATAAGTATTTGGAGTGATTTCTAAGTGAAAAGACAAAAGACCAAATTCATTTATTTTCTATATTATGATTATCAATGTGTGAATTATTGATTTAGTAGCACAAAATAACCTCATTAGGGCATGCGTGTGTGTGTATATATATATATATATATATATATATATATATATATATATATATATATATATATATCTTTATACTTCTAAACATGGAAAGAACAAAGGGCTCCTATCATTGCCTCACTAAGAAAGTAGTTCAGCCATTAACATATAAGTTTTAATACTTTTGAGTTAGGTATTGAAAAGATAGTGAGAAAAATAAGAAGACATACTAAGTCCCTTCTCCACTCTTCCCTCTGCCATCCTTCAGCTGGCAAGACATTTATTATTTGATCACCAAGTAAAATTTTCATTTTAAGTCTTGAATTATTTGTAATATGAAAAAGCATATCAGTCAATTCTAGGTACATTTAGTGTTATGGGTTCAAACTGAGTCTGTTTAAAATTCCCCAATTCTATCCCCACTCCAGCCTATCCCAACACTACGAGCTTCTTCCTGGTATGTCATTCTAGAGCCATGATGTTGGGAGTTAGGACACTTGGAACACTATTTAGTCCTTTGTGTGTTCTTGTTTGCTTCCGTGTTCTTTGTGCCATCTCATGCACAGACATGATCATCTTCAAACACTGGTGTCTGCTGAGGTATTCCATTTTTATTCAGGCTCTGCTTGTGTAGTTCACACAGCACCCACTGATGTGTATCATGTTCCAAATTAAACACTGCTTCATGTCTGGTATTTATTTATCTCTCAGCTAGCCTCCAGGCCTTTCTCACAGGCACATAGAAGCTTTGGGTGTTCTCTCATTCTTCTCTGTGGCCACATATCACCCAACATCTCCTTATCCAGTGGGTCTCCTTTTCCTGCCACCTCACCTAGTCTCCTGTCTGCTCAGCTATTATGCCTTGTCTTTCCTTTCAGACAGCTGCTGCCTGTAGGAAATAATGTAAATGATGGTCTATTTCCAAGACAAAGTACCTCGAGTAGACTTCGGTCTGCAAACTATGGAAGGAGGAAATATACCAGGCCACTGCTTTAACAGTTGGCACCTACTTGTTGGGGTCCCCTTAGTTGCCCTCACCTGAACCAAAGACTTTAGTGTAGAATGAAAGTTAACTAGACTGCAAAATAGCTCACTTTACCTAGTCTTATCAGCTTGCCTGACTACACAGGTCATAAGTCAAATACTTGAAAAGCCCCTGAGGTGACTATGATTGCAATGCATTATGGGCTGCAACAAAATGCAGACAAACAACCCTAAAGAAAACACCTAAAACCCCTACCCGATGACAAACAGACAATGTCCAGGAAGATTGTGGCCCCATAGTACTCAGCCTATGAGGAACTGGGGGAGGGACCTGTGCACAAGGGGATAAATTGCTTGTGGTAACCATGCTGGGCATGCCTGCCCATCAGACACCAGATCTTGCAAGACTGTCATTAAAAGTCTTGCTTCTGCTCTTCTCTGTGTCTCTAAGTCCATTCTTTGGGTTAAATGGGTGAGTTTGTTTCTCACAAACTGGGGCTTGTCCGGAATCTCTGTGCCTGTGTACAGTGGGATTCCTGTAAAGAGCAGAGATGCGAACCACCCAATTTAGATGGCCTGCTCTGTCTGGGCGTTTTCAGAGGTTAAGTGTGTGTGACTGAGACTTATCTTAGATAAGAAGAAACTGCAGAGTCCCAATCTGCAATTTCATTCTCCTGCGAGGGAAATGGCTGCAGACAGACAAAGTGATTCTCGGGTTGTGCAAGAAACCTCCAGTAGGGAATGGTGAGTACACAGGGAAAAGCTCAGACACAGTGACTGACCGAAAATGGTAAATAGGAATTCTAGGGCTAGGGAACAAAAGAAAGAGGGAACCAAGGAAACTCCTTCTGACATTCCCCCGGATAGTGCACTGGGGAGAATGCTGCAGGTTTGGAGGGACAACACTTGAACCAGCGACAAAGAAAAGCGAAAGATAACAAAGTTTTGCTATTTTATCTGGCCCAAAGACCCATTTGTAAACCCTCGGTTTTTTGGCCTAAGTGTGACTCAGAAGAGGATTGGGTGGGCCAAGCTTTAATTCTCTATGTGAATGATAAAATCCCATTCTCACAAGAAGAGATAGGTTATGCTCTCTGTTGGACCAGGGAATTAGCCCCCATATTTCCCCTCAAAGAAGAAGAAAAGAAACATAATACATAGCCTTGCCCAATAAAAAGGCCTGGGATCTGCTAACATGCTTCCCCCTTCCATACAGCTCACAAAATAAGGAACAGGAAGAAACAGGAAGAAACAGGGGAAACAGGGAGGCCAGAGGGAGAGAAATCTGGAGGTCATGAAGGAACTAAACCCACTGGTCCCCTAAATCCTTAGCCGAACTTGAGGAAAGAATTAGAAAAATGTAGCAGGGACATTGAGAATTTCCCTGTTTCCTCTAAACAGCAGATGTCTAAACATGTTCCCTCTTAGAGAAGGCCCTGTGGGGCAGGGAGAAGTTGGATTTGTGAGTGGGCCTTTAACAAGTCCTCAAATTAGAAATTTTGAAAAAGAAATGAGGTCACTCTTAGAGGATCCCCTTGGTTTAGCAGAATAGCTAAATCAATTTTTAGGACCCAATATTTATACTTGGGCTGAGATTATGTCTATCATGAATATCCTGTTTACTGGGGAAGAGAGGGAAATGATTAGAAGGGAAGCCATGACTATTTGGGAAAGACAGCATCCTCCAGGGCAAGGAGACCTGCCAGCTGGGCAGAAATTCCCAAATACGGGTCCTGAATGGGATAATAATGATCCCAGGAATCAGACCCAAATGCAAGTCCTTAGGAAACTAATTAGGTGGACTGAAGAGTCCACTCCTAGGACACAAAATGTCTAGAAAGCATTTGAGATTCAACAATAAAAAGAAGAGACTCCCTCTGTGTTTCTGCAGAAGCTCAGGGATCAAATGAGAAAATACTCAGGATTAGAAGCGAGGGACCCAGTCAGGAAGGGCCTTTTTATTTTTATTTTTTATTTATTTATTATTATTTTTATTTTCTTTGAGACAGAGTTTTGCTCTTGTTGCCAAGGCTGGGGTGCAATGGCACAATCTTGGCTTACTGCAACCTCTGCCTCCTGGTTCAAGCAATTCTCCTGTCTCAGCCTCCCAAGTAGCTGGGATTACAGGCACCCACCACCACGCTTGGCTAATTTTTGTATTTTTAGTAGAGACAAGGTTTCACTATGTTGGCCAGGCTGGTCTCAAACTCCTGTCCTCAGGTGATCTACCCACCTCTGCCTCCCAAAGTGCTGGGATTACAGGTGTGAGCCACCATGCCTAGCCAGTGAGGCCTTTTAAAGGTTAATTTTGTAACTAAAAGCTGGCCTGCTATTACTAAGAAACTACAAAAGATTAATGGATGGAATGAGAAGCCAAAGGAATTACCGAGGGAAGCTCAAAAGGTTTTTATAAGAAGAGAAGAAGAGAAACAGAAACAAAAGGCAAAAATCATGGTTTCCACTGTAAAGGAAGTAGTTAGAAAGAGATTAGATCAAGACCCCTCTCAAAGGAGACAAAAGAACACTAGGTCTCAGCAAAGAGACAGGAGGGAAATACAGGGAAAAACTCCTAAGACTACAAGTGGATGTTACAAATGTGGGAAACCAGGACATCTTAAGAGAATGTCTGGAATGGAAAAAGGAAGAGAAGGTCATCCCCATAATGAATTTTGATGAGGATTAGAGGGATCAGGGGTTCCTTTTGAGTAGGTCCCACCAGGAACCCTTGATAAACTTGAGGGTGGGAACCAAAGGCAATGAAATGACATTTTTAGTCGACAGTGGAGCAGCATGCTCCTTTCTAATATACCAACCCAGGGGCACAGAACTCTCTAAGGAAAAGTTAACAATATCAGGTATGAAGAGGGAGGGATTTCAGGTTCCGATAGTCAATAAAATGTTAACTAGGTTGGGATCAAAACAAAGGAAGGAGTCACTCTCATGTGTTCCCAAAGCAGGAACTAACCTCCTGGGTTGAAACCTGATTGTTGGACTGGGTTTAGAATTAGGAGTAGGGGAGGGACAAATAAAAATAATGATGGGCCTCCTAACAGAGAAGGAAGAAAGTAAAAGTAATCCCCTTGTGTGGGTTAAGGAAGACAACAGGGAAGGATTAAAAATCACACCCTTACAGATTGAACTAAAACAACCAGAAGAAATAGTTTGCAGAAAACAATATCCCATACCTGTTGAAGAAAGAAAAAGTCTTCAACTGGTAACAGAGGGATTAACTAAAGCTGGAATATCAGAACCCTGCATGTTACCATGCAACAAGTCCAGTTCTCCCAGTCAAGAAACTCAATGGATCATATAGATTAGTGCAAGATCTAAGGGCTATAAATCAAATTGTCCCAACTCTCCAACTTGTGATGCCTAACCCTGACACCTTCCTTAATAAAATACCCTATGAAAGTAAGTGGTTCAGCGTAGTGGATCCGAAAGTTGTATTCTGGGCATGTCCCCTAGACGCTAAGAGTAGGGACCTCTTTGTCTTTGAACAGGGAAATTCCATAACTGGGAGAAAGCAACAGTACCAAGAGGACACTATGTATACTGATTCTAAATATGCCTATGGATTGGTACACAGCTTTGGAAAAATTTAGACACAGTGGGGCCTAATAAACAGCAGAGGGAAAGAATTGGTACAAGGAGAACTAATCACACAGGTTTTAGAAAGCCTCCTGCCTCCAGCAGGGGTAGCCACAGTTCATGTAAATGGCCATCAGAAAGGGAACGCTATAAAAGCTCTAGGAAACAGGCTTGCTGATGAAGCTGCTAAGCAAGCCTCCCTGGAGGAAGAAGTTATTTAGCCTAATCCCAAATATCCCTAAAGTAGTATTAAGGCCCCAATTTTCCAAAGATAAAGAAAAACCGGGCAAGATAGTGTCCACTCAAACTGAAGATGGGAGATGAGTGCTGCCTGATGGGAGAGAAATGATAAGCAAACCCATAATAAGAGACCTTATGTTCATACTGCGCAATGGGAGTCATTGGGGTCCCCAGGCTATGGGTGAGGCAATACTAAAGAATTATGAGTGTATAGGAATTTATGCCATTGCTAAACAAGTGTGTGGAGGTTGTGTGACCTGCCAAAGAATAAATAAAAAGGTAGTTAGAAAAGACTACCAGAGAAAGGCCTCACAAGTTAAGACCATTACAAAGCATTCAAGTAGATTTCACAGAAATGCCCAAAATAGGGAGACTAAAGTATCTACTAGTAATCCCTCTGGCTGGGTGGAGGCCTTCCCTCTCCTGACTGCCACTGCCGGGAATGTCATCAAAATAACCTTACAGCAAAAATTATACCCAGATTTGGCTTGGTGGAAAATATTGATTCAGACAAAGGGAGCCACTTTACCTTGAGGGTGCTAAGGGAAATTATGGGAGGTTTACACATTAGATGGGATTACCACACTCCTTGGCATCCCCACTCCTCTGGAAAGGTAAAGAGAATGAATAAAACTCTCACAAAGCATACTACCAAACCAATCTTAAACACTAAAATGCTGTGGACCAAATGTCTCCCAGTTGTGCCCCTTAGGATTAGCACAGCCCCAAGGGAAGACTTGGGATTGTCTCCTTACAAGTTATTATATGGGTCCCCCTATTTAGGCAGGGCTATAGACTTACCTATTATGGAAACTGAAGACCATTTTTTTTTTTTTTTTTGAGATGGAGTCCCACTCTGTCGCCCAGACTGGAGTACAGTGGCACGATTACAGATCACTGCAACTTCCGCCTCCCAGGTTTAAGCAATTCTCCTGCCTCAGCCTCTTGAGTAGCTGGGATTACAGACATGTACCACCACCTCTCGCTAATTTTTTATATTTTTAGTAGAGATGGGGTTTCACCACATTGGCCAGGTTGATCTTGAACTCTTGACCTCAGGTGATCCGCCCGCCTCAGCCTCCCAAAGTGCTGGGATTACAGGCGTGAGCCACTATGCCCTACCCAAAGACCAATTTTTAAGAAATTATATACTGGCCATCTCCTCCACTATGTCATCCCTTAGGTTAAGAGGACTTCTGACTCAAACTCCGCCTCTTGAGTTCATGATTCATCACTTTCATCCTGGTGACTTGGTGCTGATTAAGACCTGGAAGGAAGACAAGCTGCACTCAAGCTGGGAAGGTCCTTATCAAGTGATCCTGACCACCGAGAACAGCTAAATGAGGGTGGACTGATTACACATGGGTCAAGGGACTGGTAAAAGAGAACCTGAAATGGAGGGGAAAGGACTAATGGGAAGTGTATATGGATCACCTGAGGAGCCCGTAAAGTTAACTCTGAGAAAAACTAGAAGGGAACTATAAGTGGGCTCCATCATTGGGGTGTATGTGTTTAGGATTAATCGTAATACCAAGGGTGAGAGGTATGCAAATATGGGATGGGGTCTAGTAGAAGTAGAATATCCAATCAAACTAATAGTCAACAAAACTACGACCTCCACCTCCCAAAGTATAAACTTTGATGCCTGCCAAATCTTACCTTGGGGGAATTTAACAAACCAAAGTCAGTTGTCATAAGCAGACAAATATCTGTGTCCTGAAACAGGCCACTCTTGGGCCCTCTCAGAAAAGCCCTGTGCTAGCTGGAATGAGGTCTGGTTGACCACTCAATTTCAAGGCTGGGTAAGTCATTCATCCAAAAATAAACTTTGAAAGGATAAGATACATTTATATAAAGGTGCCATGCCATGTAACTGTGGAAATTTAGAAGGCAGTCCTATATTAATAGCCACAAACAACCCAGCTACTCTAGACCAGAAACCAAGGAGGTATGGCTTAGGAATAGATGTCTCAGGAAGGGGCCCCACAGGATGGTTAGCTCTCAGGCTAATTACCAACAATCTCTAGCTCACCTGGGCTTATTATAACTCCTGTTCCCACCACTTCCTTTAACATGCCAGGCAATGACCCTAAGAGAGTAAAAATAATTTAGATAACTGACCAAAGGCAGACTTTAGAAATTGAGACTGGATATGGAGATGTAAATGCTTGGGTTGCACGGGTCAAATTTTTGGTACTAGCTCTCAAGAGTGACTGTTACACATGCTCTGCTGGTCGACCTCAGGCACAGGTGGTTCTCTTTCCCCGAGGATGGGATACTAATCCCGAAGGAATGCGTTGCATGTTGGCTCTACGAGGACAGGGATGCACAAGGAAATGAGACTTGCAAGTCTATCATTGCTCTTTCCCACCTTGTGGAGATCAGATTCTAGAGCAATCCCCTTGTTCTCCATAGGGAATATGAACCACTCCTCTTGCCTCTCTAGGCAGGGGGCAGAGTTCAGTAAGCCTGTGGGAGAACTCTCAACTTATACCCTCATCCTAAAAGTTACTGGTGAGTCAAACAAAGGCAACTACTCGGCTCTTTATATACCCCAGGCTGATGTCTAGTGGTATTGCGGGAAAAGAAACCTCTGTGATCCGTTACTGTCCGACTGGACCAGGTTTTGTGCCTTAGTTTAATTGGCCATTCCCATCACTCTAGCATTTCATAAGATCCCCAAGAATCCACATGGCCACCGAAGCTGGAGAGATTTAACAAATTCTTTTGATCCCAACATTTATATTGACTTAATAGGATTCCCTAGAGGAGTACCTAATAAATTTAAGGTCCAAAACCAAATAGCTGCTGGGTTTGAATCAGTACTCTTCTGGTGGTCAACTATTAATAAAAATGTGGATTGGAGTAATTACATCTGTTAAAATCAACAAGATTAATCAACTATATTCCAGAAACTCTCAAAGGAATGGCTAGCCAGTTAGATGCCACCAGCCTAGTGGCCTGGGAAAACAGACTTACATTACACATAATCCTAGCAGAGAAAGTGGGTGTGTGTCTTATTCTGGGCAGAAAAGGTTGCACTTTCCTTCCCAACAATACTGCCCCAGATGGAACCATCACAAAAGCATTACAAGGGTTAACAACTCTAGCCAATGAATTGGCAGAAAATGCCAGAATTGATGACCCATTTACCGATTGGCTAGAAGGTTAGTTCCGGAAATGGAAAGGAATGGTAGCTTCCATTCGAATATCCCTTATAATAGTGGCTGAAGTCCTAACAGCTTTATGATATTGCATTATCCCCTACGTTAGAGGGTTAACCCAAAAATTGATTGAAACAGTCATCAACAAATGCCCATAACATATTAACTGCTATTAGAAACAAATTCAGACCTACTCTCTTATGAGGAAGAGAGTCAACAGCTCTTAAAACAATTTGAGCACCAAAGGACACACAAATAAATGTGGAAATTGGACAAATGGGGTAAAAAGAAAAAGAGGAAGGAGTTGTAGGTAATTGTATAAATGGTGGTCCATTTCCAAGACAAAGTGCCTCGAGTAGGCATAGGTCCGCAAACTATGGAAAGACAAAATATACTAGGCCCCTGCTTTAATAGCTGGCACCTGCTTGTCGGGGACCCCTTAGCTGCCCTCACCTGAACCTGCGTTTAGTCTAGAATGAAAGTTTACTAACCTGCAACATTGCTCATTTTATCTATTCTTCTCAGCTTGCCTGACTACCTATGTCATAAGTCAAATACTTAAAAAGCCCCTGAGCTGACTATGATTGCAATGTATTATTGGCTGCAACAAAATGCAGTGACAACCCCAAAGAAAACACCTAAAACTCTCCTACCCGGTGATCAATAGACAACATCCTGGAAGATTGTGATCCCATAGTACTCAGCCTATGAGGAACAGGGGGAGGGATCTAAGCACTAGGGCATACATTGCTTGTTGTAACCACACTGGGTGTGCCTGCCCACCAGACACCCCACCTTGGAAAACTGTCATTAAAAGTCTCGCTTCTGCTGTTCTCCATCTCTCTCAGTCCATTCTTTGGGTTCGGACAGGTAAGTTTGTTTCTCACAGTGCTCAAGTGTTTTTCATTAACACCTTCTTAAATTATACATTTTTAAATGTTCTTTCCAAATATAGTCGAATTTTACTACTTTAGAATGTACAATTTTTCTCATATTTGAATCTTTTCCATATTTATTTTTTGTGATATGGAAAAATTAAATCAAGAAAAGTGCTTCTTCTGCAAAATTCACTCTCCAGCACCCTCCCTTTTTTCCCTACCTCGTACATGCTGTCCGCAATCAAAGCAGCCAACAGCTACAGACATACTAAAGTAAATTCTCGCTGCCATAGCCACAGCAGTAGTCTTGGATGATGCTGCGAAAACAGAATTATATTTTAAGAGTTCAGAGTTAGGGGCATACTTACATAGATATCACCAAAAGCACACATTGGAACTCAACTACCACTGTTAAGGAAATAACATTATTTTATGTTTCACAACAGAAATCCTTAAAAAATATAAACCAGTCTATTAGATAGATACAAAAAAAACTAGGTATGAATTGCTTATATTGAAATTAAACAATGGGAAGAACAGTATCCTGGAAGAGCTATATTACAATTAATTTGAGAGCTAGCATAACAATAGTATAAGTCCGTGGTCAGTAAATGTTTCCTATAAAGGGCCAGCTAGGAAATATTTCTGGTTTTGCAGGCCAGGTGGTCTCTGTCACATCTATTGAACTCTGATGTAGCATGAAAGTAACCATACACAGTATATTAACAAAGCATGTAACTGTATTCCAACAAAGTTTTATTCCTGAAAACAGGTAGTGGGCCAGACTGGCTAATGCATGGTAGTTTGCCTGCACCTAGACCATGTGCTGATAACATTAAGTATTTAATCAGAGAAATCCCAGTCCCCTAGCTTACTATATTATACAAAAGGAGGCAGAATATGTCTTATCAAAAGCTCTTTTTTTTTTCCTAAGGGAAATAGTTTAATGTACTTGGGATAAAAAAGGACCATTTTTGAGGCTGCAGCAGTCTGTGATGGCTACATATGTTTAGAGTAACAAGAGTTTTAAAAGAATGTTTAATTTAGTACTTTTAATTTTACAAACTTTTAAAAATGTTTCTAATTATTATTATGTTTCATATCATTATATATTGAAAAGGGTTTTTTGTTTGTTTGTTTTCCATGCTTGGGTATCGTAACTGTGGTTTTCAAATATAAAATTTAGCGGTTTTTTTGTTTCCTCCTTTGCTCTTTGAATTAAGAGTTCCATTTTCTCAGTTTATTGTCTTGTTTCATCTACTGCAATAGTCAGGAACCATAAAATATATTCTATAATTGACATTGTTACAACCAAAGAATCCAAAGCAGGCAAATGAAATGAGTAATTAAACATATTTTAATCATATTTAATAGAGAAAACAATATATCTGATCCAGTTTTTTATATTAATACTGTAAGTTATAATGGAATATAATTTTTCTATTTTATAATAATGATTAAATACTTGCACTAAAATGTACTGCATATCCATTTATTGTGAGTAATAACATTTGTATAGTATGAAGAAATTGACCCTACCATTTTTAGCCCTCTTTAAATTGTAAAGACAATGACAATACAAAGTTTTCAAATTTCAAAAGTCTACTTAGAAGTGGACCAGCTACAAAATAACCTTTTTATTTCCTTTTTATTAAAGCTATTATTTCACACTCATCTAGATATGTCTAAACTGTTCTTCGTAAGAATCAATAATGGAAATTAAGGGTGATCTGATATAATCAACGGTCACGCTAGAGTATCATCAAACTCCTTTTAAGTTACATACTTAATCTTTTATGCTAATGATTTTGTTTCAATGCATAATTCCATATGTTTTTTTCCATGTATTCAGCTCAAAATCCCAGAATTGAACCAAATTCTCTAATAACTTTTCTTAATTTATGTAAAGCCTTCTTTATATTTCTTTTAATTTCTCTACTCATTTTCTTTTTCTTCAACAATATTCACTAGAGTTATTGTGATCCATTACAATATTTTAGAAATAACTAATGTGCCACACTGTAGTCCTGGAGTTATTTTAGACAGTGAATCTAAAATTTAAACTAAGAGCCTGCAGCAATTCTATTAGCGTTTGGACACTTGAAATATCCTTTTAGAGAGAGTGGGGCAGAGAGATTCAAATAGATTCTTTCACTAGTTTAACTGTAGATATCTTCGATGTGTGAATTCTCGGACAGCAATATTATAAATCTCCTTGTACCAGAAAATATCCATGATAGAGTAATGAAGATATGATTATTAAGATTCGGTTCTTAAGTGAAACCTTTTATTTATCTATTTGACATTCTTTTTGTGTGTTCAAATGTTGGTAGATTTTAATCTACTGATTCTTATTGTGTTTTCTGAGGGAGGCTGTAATTATCATTTTATTTATAGGCTGTAATTATCATTTTATTTGTAATCGCCAGTTTGATGTAGTTCTTATCAATTCTTTGGTGTTGTAAGTTTCCAATTAAATTCATAATAAAAGCATAAATTATGACGACATCAGCAAGGAATTTACTGATTATAAAGTCTTAAAAATCTAAAAATTTAAAAACAGCTCAGAGGAACTTGATATTCTCTCAGAATAGATACATTCCCTAAAGAAATATCTTAAAAGTTTCAGGATATTTTTAACTTGCACCTTTGTAAGAATCCCAAATATTAAAATATGTGAAATTGCTAATTCTTACAGATTCTAAACCGTATGTGATTCCCACAAAATCTACATGTGTAGTAAAAAGCAGAAGAAGTAATCTATGTACATTATTTCCAAGCTATAAGTCTTTTAGAAAGGTGAATTTAAAAATTATTCAATAAAAACACTCAGGAAATTTATAAGACACGGTCTCTGCCCTTAGCTACTTCTCTTCCATAAAATCTGAAAGTAAAACTCGTATGCAATTTATTGTTCATAAAAACAAGCCACTGTTGACTGGTTAGCAACTAGAATAACAAAAGGAAGGGACAAATTAATGTGAGAAAAGCAAAAAAGTTGGTCCACAGACTAAGCAAAGAAATTTTCCCTCACTTTCATGATTTCAAATATTTTTTTCCACTGGATAACAAGATGAATGTCTGTAGGCCATTCCCGAAAAAACAACAATAAAATAAGCACACCAGCAAACGCTGAATTAGAGGCTTTCACTATATTTATTTTGTTTTGATAGAAATAATATATTTCTAGTTGAGGACTAGTTTTTACAAAATTCTCTATTTGGAAATCATTTTAGTCTGCAGAAGAGTTGCAGAAATAAAATTAATACAAAGAACATCCACATATTCTTTACCAATACTCACCTACTGCCAACATTTTACTTCATTTGCTTATTGTTCTTTCCCTCTGTAAACACAGACACATACATACATAAATATATGTAGATTTTCTGAACCATTTGAGAATAAATAACACATATAATTGCTTCTTACTCTCAAATTCTTCAGTATATATTTCCTACGCAATGTTCTCTTGCATAGCCACAATACAGTAGCCCCCCTTATCTGCAGTTCACGTCCTGTGGTTTCACTTACCCCAAGTTAACCACAGTCTGAAAATATTAAATGGAAAATCCAAAAAATTAACAATTCAAAATTTTTTTTTAATTTAAGAAACATTTGTTTCAAATGAAGAGAAATTTAATTAAATGCATTTTTAGCCTGATGTTGGAAGACAAATCTGTGCTCCTGATTTTAGAAACTCAAAATACCGCTAAGAATACGGAAACAGTGTTGAATAACATACACTAAAATGAGGGTAGATAAATGGAATGCCCACAATCAGGGAACAAGCTTCTCTTCTCCATTGAAATCAGATGGACCTGGCTCCAGATAACTGTATATTTTACATGTGAGCCTTGTGACTTTGGGAAGTTAATTAGGCAGCCAAAACTTCAGTTTTCATATGCATACATTAGGATGGTAATGTCTACCTCTCAAAATTGTTGCAAAGCTTCTTAAAACACATGAACGAAATCATGTAGCATAGCACACAGTAGTACACAAAACATAGTAGGTGTCCAATTAACACATTGCCACTCTTTCTTTTTCCTCGCTTTTCTGCCTCCCTAACACCTGTCTTTCTTTTTTTTTCTTTATTTTATTTTATTTTATTATTATTATACTTTAAGTTTTAGGGTACATGTGCAAAATGTGCAGGTTTGTTACATATGTATACATGTGCCATGTTGGTGTGCTGCATCCATTAACTCGTCATTTAGCATTAGGTATATCTCCTAATGCTATCCCTCCCCTCTCCCCCCACCCCACAACAGTCCCCAGAATGTGATGTTCCCCTTCCTGTGTCCATGTGTTCTCATTGTTCAATTCCCACCTATGAGTGAGAACACGCGGTGTTTGGTTTTTTGTCCTTGCGATAGTTTGCTGAGAATGATGGTTTCCAGTTTCATCCATGTCCCTACAAAGGACATGAACTCTTCATTTTTTATGGCTGCATAGTATTCCATGGTGTATATGTGCCACATTTTCTTAATCCAGTCTATCCTTGTTGGACATTTGGGTTGGTTCCAAGTCTTTGCTATTGTGAATAGTGCTGCAATAAACATAAGCGTGCATGTGTCTTTATAGCAGCATGATTTATAATCCTTTGGGTATATACCCAGTAATGGGATGGCTGGGTCAAATAGTATTTCTAGCTCTACATCCCTAAGGAATCACCACACTGACTTCCACAATGGTTGAACTAGTTTACAGTCCCACCAACAATGTAAAAGTGTTCCCATTTCTCCACATCGTCTCCAGAATCTGTTGTTTCCTGACTTTTTAATGATCGCCATTCTAAATGGTGTGAGATGGTATCTCATTGTGGTTTTGATTTGCATTTCTCTGATGGCCAGTGATGATGAGCATTTTTTCATGTGTTTTTTGGCTGCATAAATATCTTCTTTTGAGAAGTGTTGTTCATATACTTCACCCACTTTTTGATGGGGTTGTTTTTTTTTTCTTGTAAATTTGTTTGAGTGCATTGTAGATTCTGGATATTAGCCCTTTGTCACATGAGTAGGTTGCAAAAATTTTCTCCCATTTTGTAGGTTGCCTGTTCACTCTGATGGTAGTTTCTTTTGCTGGGCAGAAGCTCTTTAGTTTAATTAGATCTCATTTGTCAATTTTGGCTTTTGTTGCCATTGCTTTTGGTGTTTTAGACATGAAGTCCTTGGCCATGCCTATGTCCTGAATGGTATTACCTAGGTTTTCTTCTACGGTTGTTATGGTTTTAGGTCTAATATATGTCTTTAATCCATCTTGAATTAATTTTTGTATAAGGTGTAAGGAAGGGATCCAGTTTCAGCTTTCTACATATGGCCAGCCAGTTTTCCCAGCACCATTTATTAAACAGGGAATCCTTTCCCCATTGTTTGTTTTTGTCAGGTCTGTCAAAGATCAGATGGTTGTAGATATGCGGCATTGTTTCTGAGGGCTCTGTTCTGTTCCACTGATCTATATCTCTGTTTTGGTACCAGTACCATGCTGTTTTGGTTACTGAAGGCTTGTAGTATAGTTTGAAGTCAGGTAGCGTGATGCCTCCAGCTTGATTATCTCAATAGATGCAGAAAAGGCCTTTGACAAAATTCAACAACACTTCATGCTAAAAATTCTCAATAAATTAGGTACTGATGGGACATATCTCAAAATAATAAGAGCTATCTATGACAAACCCACAGCCAATATCATACTGAATGGGCAAAAACTGGAAGCATTCCCTTTGAAAACAGGCACATGACCGGGATGCCCTCTCTCACCACTCCTATTCAACATAGTGTTGGAAGTTCTGGCCAGGGCAATCAGGCAGGAGAAGGAAATAAAGGGTATTCGATTAGGAAAAGGGGAAGTCAAATTGTCTCTGTTTGCAGATGACATGATTGTACATCTAGAAAACCCAATCATCTCAGCCCAAAATCTCCTTAAGCTGATAAGCAACTTCAGCAAAATCTCTGGATACAAAATCAATGTACAAAAATCACAAGCATTCTTATACACCAATAACACACAAACAGAGAGCCAAATCATGAATGAACTCCCATTCACAATTGCTTCAAAGAAAATAAAATACCTAGGAATCCAACTTACAAGCGATGTGAAGGACTTCTTCAAGGAGAACTAAAAACCACTGCTCAATGAAATAAAAGAGGATACAAACAAATGGAAGAACACTCCATGCTCATGGGTAGGAAGAATAAATATCATTTAAATGGCCATACTGCCCAAGGTAATTTATAGATTCAATGTCATCCCCATCAAGCTACCAATGACTTTCTTCACAGAATTGGAAAAAACTAATGTTCATATGGAACCAAAAAAGAGCCCTCATCGCAAAGTCAATCCTAAGCCAAAAGAACAATTCAAAAATTTTAAATTAAGAACCATTCTGAGTTGCATGATGAAATCTTGCACCATTCTGCAGGGTACATGAATTGTCCCTTTGTCTAGAGTCTACCTGGTACTTGCCCTTAGTCACTAACATCTGCTCCTGATATCCAACTATGGACATCTTTCGGACTCGATGATCCAGGATCACCCAAAGCAGATAATCCTTCCTCTGGAATATTGTCAGAGGGTCAACAGTAGCCTAACATTCACTTCCTCCCATCACATAGGCATTTTGTCGTCTTACTTTCTCACAAGAAGGATGCTGAGTAGAGTACACTAAGATATTTAGAGAGAGAGAGACCACATTCACATAAGTTTTATTACAGTATATTGCTATAATTGTTATATTTTATTATAAGTTATTGGTAATATTTTACTGTACCTAATTTATAAATTAAGCTTTATCATAATTATGTATGCATCAAAAAAAACATATATATGGTTCAGTATTATCCGCAGTTTCAGGCATCTGCCAGGAGCCTTGAAACATAACCTTTAGGGATAAGAAGAGACTACCATACAATTATCAACCTCAGAAAAGTTACGATTAGTGCAATATTAATACAGTATCTATACATTAATATATTGTAATCTAACTTACCATTCATGTTGCAATTTTGTCAGGTGACCTAATAATGTCCTCTCCACAAGTTCCTTTAAAAAATATTTTTTTCGGGAGGAGCCAAGATGGCCAAATAGGAACAGCTCCGGTCTACAGCTCCCAGCGTGAGCGACGCAGGAGACGGGTGATTTCTGCATTTCCAACTAAGGTACCAGGTTCGTGTCACTGGGGAGTGCCAGACAGTAGGCACAGGACAGTGGGTGCAGCGCACCGTGTGGGAGCCGAAGCAGGGCGAGGCATCGCCTCACCCGGGAAACGCAAGGGGTCGGGGAATTCCCTTTCCTAGTCAAAGAAAGGGGTGACAGACGGCACCTGGAAAATCGGATCACTCCCACCCTAATACTGCGCTTTTCCAACAGGCTTAAAAAAGGGCACACCAGAAGATTATATCCCATACCTGGCTCGGAGGGTTCCACGCCCACGGAGTCTCAATCATTGCTAGCACAGCAGTCCAAGATCAAACTGCAAGGTGGCAGCGAGGCTGGGGGAGGGATGCCCACCATTGAGGAGTTAGTTGTTTGATTAGGTTAGCAAAGCCACCGGGAAGCTGGAAATGGGTGAAGCCCACCACAGCTCAAGGAGGCCTGCCTGCCTCTGTAGGCTCCACCTCTGGGGGCAGGGCAGAGACAAACAAACAAAGAGACAGTAGTAACCTCTGCAGACTTAAATGTCCCTGTCTGACAGCTTTGAAGAGAGTAGCGGTTCTCCCAGCACTCAGCTGGAGATCTGAGAACAGGCAGACTGCCTCCTCAAGTGGGTCCCTGACCCCCGAGTAGCCTAACTTGGAGGCACCCCCCAGTAGGGGCAGACTGACAGCTCACACGGTCGGGTACTCCTCTGAGACAAAACTTCCAGAGGAACGATCGGGCAGCAGCATTTGCGGTTCACCAATACATGCTGTTCTACAGCCACCACTGCTGGTACCCAGGCAAACAGGGTCTGGAGTGGACCTCTAGCAAACTCCAACAGACCTGCAGCTGAGAGTCCTGTCTGTTAGAAGGAAAACTAACAAACAGAAAGGACATCCACACCAAAAACCCATCTGTACATCACCATCATCAAAGACCAAAGGTAGATAAAAACACAAAGATGGGGAAAAAACAGAGCAGAAAAACTGGAAACTCTAAAAATCAGAGCACCTCTCCTCCTCAAAAGGAACACAGCTCCTCACCAGCAATGGAACAAAGCTGGGTGGAGAATGACTTTGACGAGTTGAGAGAAGAAGTCTTCAGACGATCAAACTACTCCGAGCTACAGGAGGAAATTCGAACCAAAGGCAAAGAAGTTAAAAGCTCTGAAAAAAAATTAGACGAATGGATAACTAGAATAACCAATGGAGAGAAGTCCTTAAATGACCTGATGGAGCTGAAAACCAAGGCACAAGAGCTATGTGAAGAGTGCAGAAGCCTCAGTAGCCGATGCGATCAACTGGAAGAAAGTGTATCAGTGATTGAAGATGAAATGAATGAAATGAAGCGAGAAGAGAAGTTTAGAGAAAAAAGAATAAAAAGAAAGGAATAAAGCCTCCAAGAAATATGGAACTATGTGAAAAGACCGAATCTACATCTGAATGGTGTACCTGAAAGTGATGGGGAGAATGCAACCAAGTTGGAAAACACTCTGCAGGATATTATCCAGGAGAACTTCCCCAATCTAGCAAGGCAGGCCAATATTCAAATTCAGGAAATACAGAGAACGCCACAAAGATACTCCTCGAGAAGAGCAACTCCAAGACACATAATTGTCAGATTCACCAAAGTTGAAATGAAGGAAAAAATGTTAAGGGCAGCCAGAGAGTAGGGTCGGGTTACCCACAAAGGGAAGCCCATCAGACTAACAGCTGATCTTTCGGCAGAAACTCTACAAGCCAGAAGACATGGGGACGAATATTCAACATTCTTTTTTTTTTTTTTATTATACTTTAAGTTTTAGGGTACATGTGCACAATGTGCAGGTTAGTTACATATGTATACATGTTCCATGCTGGTGTGCTGCCCTCATTAACTCATCATTTAGCATTAGTTTTATCTCCTAATGCTATCCCTCCCCCCTCCCCCCACCCCACAATAGTCCCCAGAGTGTGATGTCCCCCTTCCTGTGTCCATGTGTTCTCACTGTTCAATTCCCATCTATGAGTGAGAACATGTGGTGTTTGGTTTTTTGTCCTTGCGATAGTTTACTGAGAATGATGATTTCCAATTTCATCCATGTCCCTACAAAGGACATGAACTCTTCATTTTTTATGGCTGCATAGTATTCCATGGTGTATATGTCCCACATTTTCTTAATCCAGTCTATCCTTGTTGGACATTTGGGTTGGTTCCAAGTCTTTGCTATTGTGAATAGTGCCACAATAAACATACGTGTGCATGTGTCTTTATAGCAGCATGATTTACAGTCCTTTGGGTATATACCCAGTAATGAACAGGCAACCCACAAAATGGGAGAAAATTTTCGCAACCTACTCATCTGACAAAGGGCTAATATCCAGAATCTACAATGAGCTCAAACAAATTTACAAGAAAAAAACAAACAACCCCATCAAAAAGTGGGCAAAGGATATGAACAGACACTTCTCAAAAGAAGACAGTTATGCAGCCAAAAGACACATGAAAAAATGCTCATCATCACTGGCCATCAGAGAAATATTCAATATTCTTAAAGAAAAGAATTTTCAACCCAGAATTTCATATCCAGCCAAACTAAGCTTCATAAGTGAAGGAGAAATAAAATACTTTACAGACAAGCAAATGCTGAGAGATTTTGTCACCACAAGGCCTGCCCTAAAAGAGCTCCTGAAGGAAGCACTAAATATGGAAAGGAACAACTGGTAGCAGCCACTGCAAAAACATGCCAAATTGTAAAGACCATCAAGGCTAGGAAGAAACTGCTTCAACTAACGAGCAAAATAACCAGCTAACATCATAATGACAGGATCAAATTCACACATAACAATATTAACTTTAAATGTAAATGGGCTAAATGCTCCAATTGAAGGACACAGACTGGCAAATTGGATAAAGAGTCAAGACCCATCAGTGTGCTGTATTCAGGAAACCCATCTCACGTGCAGAGACACACATAGGCTCAAAATAAAAGGACGGAGGAAGATCTAGCAAACAAATGGAAAACAAAAAAAGGTAGGGGTTGCTATCCTAGTCTCAGATAAAACAGACTTTAAACCAAAAAAGATTGAAAGAGACAAAGAAGGCCATTACATAATGGTAAAGGGATCAATTCATCAAGAAGAGTTAACTATCCTAAATGTATATGCACCCAATACAGGAGCACCCAGATTCATAAAGCAAGTCCTTAGTGACCTACAAAGAGACTTAGACTCCCACACAATAATAATGGGAGACTTTAACACCCCACTGTCAACATTAGACAGATCAACGAGACAGAAAGCTAACAAGGATACCCAGGAATTGAACTCAGCTCTGCACAAAGCGGACCTAATAGACATCTACAGAACCCTCCACCCCAAATCAACAGAATATACATTCTTTTCAGCACCACACCACACCTACTCCAAAATTGACCACATAGTTGGAAGTAAAGCACTCTTCAGCAAATGTAAAATAACAGAAATTATAACAAACTGTCTCTCAGACCACAGTGCAATCAAACTAGTACTCAGGATTAAGAAACTCACTCAAAACTGCTCAACTACATGGAAACTGAACAACCTGTTCCTGAATGACTACTGGGTAAATAATGAAATGTAGGCAGAAATAAAGATGTTCTTTGAAACCAACGAGAACAAAGACACAACATACCAGAATCTCTGGGACACATTCAAAGCCGTATGTAGAGGGAAATTTACAGCACTAAATGCCCACAAGAGAAAGCAGGAAAGATCCAAAACTGACACCCTAACGTCACAATTAAAAGAACTAGAAAAGCAAGAGCAAACACATTCAAAAGCTAGCAGCAGGCAAGAAATAACTAAAATCAGAGCAGAACTGAAGGAAATAGAGACACAAAAAACCCTTCAAAATATTAATGAATCCAGGAGCTGGTTTTTTGAAAAGATCAACAAAATTGATAGACCACTAGCAAGACTAATAAAGAAGAAAAGAGAAAAGAATCAAATAGATGCAATAAAAAATGATAAAGGGAATATCACCACTGATCCCACAGAAATACAAACTACCATCAGAGAATACTATAAACACCTCTACCCAAGTTAACTAGAAAATCTAGAAGAAATGGATAAATTCCTTGAAACATACATCCTCCCAAGATTAAACCAGGAAGAAGTTGCATCTGAATTGACCAGTAACAGGCTCTGAAATTGAGGCAATAATCAATAGCTTACCAACCAAAAAAAGTGTAGGACCAGATGGATTCACAGCCGAATTCTACCAGAGGTACAAAGAGGAGCTGGTACCATTCTTTCTGAAACTATTCCAATCAATAGAAAAAGAGGGAATCCTCCCTAACTCATTTTATGAGGCCAGCATCATCCTGATACCAAAGCCTGGCAGAGACACAACCAAAAAAGAGAATTTTAGACCAATATCCTTGATGAAAATCGATGCAAAAATCCTCAACAAAATACTGGCAAACCGAATCCAGCAGCACATCAAAAAGCTTATCCACCATGATCAAGTGGGCTTCATCCCTGGGATGCAAGGCTGGTTCAACATATGCAAATCAATAAATGTAATCCAGCATATAAACAGAACCAAAGACAAAAACCACATGATTATCTCAATAGATGCAGAAAAGGCCTTCGACAAAATTCAACAACACTTCATGCTAAAAACTCTCAATAAATTAGGTACTGATGGGACATATCTCAAAATAATAAGAGCTATCTATGACAAACCCACAGCCAATATCATACTGAATGGGTAAAAACTGGAAGCATTCCCTTTGAAAACTGGCATAAGACAGGGATGCCCTCTCTCACCACTCCTATTCAACATAGTGTTGGAAGTTCTGGCCAGGGCAATCAGGCAGGAGAAGGAAATAAAGGGTATTCAATTAGGAAAAGAGGAAGTCAAATTGTCCCTGTTTGCAGATGACATGATTGTATATCTAGAAAACCCCATGGTCTCAGCCCAAAATCTCCTTAAGCTGATAAGCAACTTCAGCAAAGTCTCAGGATACAAAATCAATGTACAAAAATCACAAGCTTTCTTATACACAAATAACAGACAAAGAGAGAGCCAAATCATGAGTGAACTCCCATTCACAATTGCTTCAAAGAGAATAAAATACCTAGGAATCCAACTTACAAGGGATGTGAAGGACCTGTTCAAGGAGAACTACAAACCACTGCTCAAGGAAATAAAAGAGGATACACACAAATGGAAGAACACTCCATGCTCATGGGTAGGAAGAAGCAATATGGTGAAAATGGCCATACTGCCCAAGGTAATTTATAGATTCAATGCCATCACCATCGAGCTACCAATGACTTTCTTCACAGAATTGGAAAAAAACTACTTTAAAGTTCATATGGAACCAAAAGAGCCTGCATTGCCAAGTCAATCCTAAGCCAAAAGAACAAAGCTGGAGGCATTACACTACCTGACTTCAAACTATACTACAAGGTCACAGTAACCAGAACAGCATGGTACTGGTACCAAAACAGAGATATAGACCAATGGAACAGAACAGAGCCCTCAGAAATAATGCCGCATATCTACAACTATCTGATCTTTGACAAACCTGAGAAAAACAAGCAATGGGGAAAGGATTCCCTATTTAATAAATGGTGCTGGGAAAACTGGCTACCCATATGTAGAAAGCTGAAATTGCGTTCCTTCCTTACACCTTATACAAAAATTAATTCAAGATGGATTAAAGATTTACATGTTAGACCTAAAACCATAAAAACCCTAGAAGAAAACCTAGGCAATACCATTCAGGACATAGGCATGGGCAAGGACTTCATGTCTAAAACACCAAAAGCAGTGGCAACAAAAGACAAAATTGACAAATGGGATCTAATTAAACTAAAGAGCTTCTGCACAGCAAAAGAAACTACCATCAGAGTGAACAGGCAACCTTCAGAATGGGAGAAAATTTTTGCAATCTACTCATGTGACAAAGGGCTAATATCCAGAATCTACAATGAACTCAAACAAATTTACAAGAAAAAAACAAACAACCTAATCAAAAATTGTGCGAAGGATATGAACAGACACTTCTCAAAAGAAGACATTTATGCAGCCAAAAAACACATGAAAAAATGCTCACCATCATTGGCTATCAGAGAAATGCAAATCAAAACCACAATGAGATACCATCTCACACCAGTTAGAATGGTGATCATTAAAAAGTCAGGAAACAACAGGTGCTGGAGAGGATGTGGAGAAATAGGAACACTTTTACACTGTTGATGGGACTGTAAACTAGTTCAACCATTGTGGAAGGCAGTGTGGCGATTCCTCAGGGATCTAGAACTAGAAATACCATTTTACCCAGCCATTCCATTACTGGGTATATACCCAAAGGATTATAAATCATGCTGCTATAAAGACACATGCACACTTATGTTTATTGCAGCACTATTCACAATAGCAAAGACTTGGAACCAACCCAAATGTCCAACAACGATAGACTGGATTAAGAAAATGTGGCACATATACACCATGGAATACTATGCAGTCATAAAAAATGAAGAGTTCATGTCCTTTGTAGGGACATGGATGAAACTGGAAACCATCATTCTCAGCAAATTATCGCAAGGACAAAAAACCAAACACCGCATGTTCTCACTCATAGGTGGGAATTGAACAATGAGAACACATGGACACAGGAAGGGGATCATCACACACCGGGGACTGTTGTGGGGTGGGAGAGGGAGAGCGATAGCATTAGGAGATACACCTAATGCTAAATGACGAGTTAATGGGTGCAGCACACCAACATGGCACATGTATACATATGTAACAAACCTGCACGTTGTGCACATGTACCCTAAAACTTAAAGTATAATAAAATAAAAAAGAAAAGGAGGAAGAAAAAAATATATATATTTTTTTCTTTTTTTTTTTTCTTTCAATACAAGATTCTGCCTAGAGTCAGAAATTGTATTTAGTTGTCATTTCTATTTGACTTTCTTGAATCTGGAATATCTCCACAGCCTTTGTCTTTTATGACATTGACATTTATTGGTCTCTTTCCTTTTCATTTAATGTAAACTTTTAATTTTGTGTTTATCTGGTGGTTTCTTGTTATTAGATTCAGACTTTTCATTCTCAGCTGGAATATTGTACAGGTTATGTGTCCTTCTTGGACTGTCGCATCTGAAGACACATGATATCTCTATGTCCCTTACTGGTGAAGTTGGCTTTGATCGCTTGTTCAAGGTGCTGCATAATTTACTTTGCTGTGTAATTACTTCTTTTTTCTCCCTGTTACAAATAAGCAGTCAGAAGGGGGAACTTTAAGACAAAGGAAATATGCTGATTTTTAGCAAAAATTCTCCCTAGATCTACCATTTACTGATGATTTCTATCTCACCCAATCCCTGTTATAAGGAAATCAACATAATAATTTTCCCAGTCTACTTGTGCAGAGACACTGACTGGGTGTCCTGCATGATGCTTCAGAAAAGGACCTCTCTTCTCTCCTAATTATGTATTTTATATGTGTGCATGCATGTAGGTACATATTTATTTGTTTACCTATGTTATCTCTATGGACTCATATATTTTAATTTTTTAATGTATTACAATGCATTACTGCACTTTTAAGTATCCCGGATTTGAATAGTGGGAACCCTTATAGGTTTTTCTGGTCTTACAGTTTCTCTCTCTTATTGTGAAGTGCTAGCTACTAACTCTTGTCCCTCAGCCTACAGGCTCTCTTCTACACCAATCTCTTGACTCTGCATCAGAATAATTGTTTTTGTTGTTGTAGCTTTCTAATAACAACTTGATCAGATAACCTCTTCCTTAAAACTGTGTTCTGTGGCATTGAGAGGCTGAGCTAACAGAGGGTCAAGGGTCTCTCCTTGGTTCAACTAGCCAAGTCTTGCTTTTATCTGATTCATGTACTGGTGTACAAGTAAGATTTGTTATTAAATAAGAAAGCATTTGTTTTGGTCTACCATATGTTAGCATGAGATCAGCCCTAACACTTCCATGGGCTTTTGTAGCTTGGCTGTATGAGGGGTACACTATATTTATCCTACCTGGATCACAGAGAGCTTTTGCTGTCATAAAATGAGACAATTCATGTAAAAAAGTGTTGGACATTGTGATTTTTATGCAAAAGTAGAGTATCTTCTTAATGGTGGAGTTATCATCATTACTATCCAGACCTGGAGAAAAACCTCATCAAATTAATGTAAGTAAGAGTCACTTGTAAATTTGTTTGTTTGAGTTCATTGTAGATTCTGGATATTAGCCCTTTGTCAGATGAGTAGATTGCAAAAATTTTCTCCCATTCTGTAGGTTGCCTGTTCATTCTGATGGTAGTTTCTTTTGCTGTGCAAAAGTTTAGTTTAATTAGATCCTATTTGTCAATGTTAAATGATGAGTTAATGGGTGCAGCACACCAACATGGCAGATGTATACATATGTAACTAACCTGCACGTTGTGCACATGTACCCTAAAACTTAAAGTATAATAAAAAAAAAAAAGAGTCACTGCAGTGGATTTAAAGTGTTCTATCTGGAGATGAACACTTTCTTACACTACTAGGGAAATCCTTTATGAATACACTCCAAGACTACCTAATAGTCTATTGCCAAAACAAATTCAATAAGTAATTCAGTAAATATTAGGAAATGATAATATTTTCTTCTTAGGCCAGAAAACAAATTGTCTCACACATCACCTGTTGGCAGTGAATACCAGGAACAGGTTTCACACATATTCTGCTTATGAAGAGCCTCCATGCAACATTTAGTGATGATAAATTGCTCCCAACTGGACACACAAAAATTGTGATTGTAGACAATTTGATGTATAGAACCTTTGATGATCTGATGATCTACTGGCAGCTATTGCTAAACTTTCCTTTAACCAACTAAAAGGAAATTTACCTTTGTCACCAGAGCAAATACATGTCTTAAAAAGAAGCCCTTGTCACAGAAAAGGCTTGAGGAACAAGCATCACATATATCTGATGAAACACTCGGAGGTTGAGGAGTGAAATTAAAGTAGCATATGATAGGCCTAGGCAGAGTGATGTGAGGTGGGGACAGGGGGCGAAGGTCAAGAGTTTAGCAAGGAGGCAGTGAGTACACTCTAGGAGGTAGGATTGATTGGCAGAACAATCTAAAGAGGTAAAATACTGTCATTTCAGACAGCGAAGACATACAGATCAGACAAGGTCAGGTGGCTCTAGAAATGGGAAAATTAGAGGGCAAGAATCTGAGATATAGGCAGAAGTACTGGCAAAAGTCTAAGATGTTGGAGGAAAAACACCAGCTCATAAGCTCTAAGAGACGAGAAATCAGAATTCGGCAGGGATTTTGTGTTTTATCACAGGTCATTCACAGCAAGCATGGACTTTGACTAAAATAAGCATCTTCTGAAGCAGCTCAAAGAAATGCACCCATTGCCAAGATAACATTTTGTCTAAACGTTTAGGCAGTTGAATACTCTTAGACTTCTGTAAAATCAAGATAAATTATATGTAATGAAGTCACTCATCAGAATCACTCTGCAGACACCTTCAATATACCACCTATTCCCCAAGAGTTTTCCTGGAACACTTAAATACTTAACACATTTTGATAAAATTGCAGAGCAATGAGAATGATTTCTGAACAGTCATCCCTGCCCTAAAGTGCTGTGAGAAATGTCATAGGTATATTATTTTTTTCAATCGTAGGACAATGTTATGAAGACTCTTTTCCTCATTTGGAGAAAATTTAGGAAAATGAAGCTTGGCTATGTTGAGGATACTCGCCAAAGATCAAACGTCTAAGAAGCTTAAAGCCAAGGTTTTCTACTATGTTCACCATAATGATTATGTTTTTCCGATTTAGTCACTAATGTCAGAAACAAAATAAGGATCTCTGATATTAATTAATGTTCAATGGCTAAATGGTAGTTTCTTACGGTATTTTTAACTGGGCTCTGAAACCTTAAGAAAAAATTTGAAATTTTTGAAGTTATATTTTAAATTATAGCATATAAGAAAATTTAGTTCAAATAATAAGGTGGGTATACATTATTTTACATACTTTGTGGATGTGTTGGGATCATGCATTACTTGAAATCAGTTTACATGAAGTCAAATAAAAATTCTTTTTCTTTTTTGAGACAAAGTCTCACTCTTATTGCCCAGGCTGGAGTACAGTGGCACAATCTCGGCCCACTGCAACCTCCCCCTCCCAGATTCAAGCAATTCTCCTGACTTAGCCTCCCCAGTAGCTGGGTGAACAGGTGCACACCACCACACCTGGTTAATTTTTGTATTTTGGTAGAGATGGGGTTTCACCACATTGGCCAGGCTAGTCTTGAACCTCTGACCTCAGGTGATCCATCCACCTCAGCCTCCCAAAGTGCTAGGATTACTGGCATGAGACACTGCGCCCGGCCAAAAATTCTATTTTTTTAAAAAATGCGTATTTGAAACAAGCTATTGACCTACACATTGTAGAGGCCAAAATGTTCTTTCTAGGAATCTAATATTTTGGCTGAATTTTTTTTTTTTTTTTTTTTTTTTTGAGACAGAGTCTCACTCTGTCACCCAGGCTGGAATGCAGTGGTGCGATCTCCACTCACTGCAACTTCCACCTCCTGGGTGCAAGTGATTCTCCTGCCTCAGCTTCCCAAGTAGCTGGGACTGCAGGCATGCATCACCACACCTAGCTACTAATTTTTTTATTTTTATTTTTAGTAGAGAAGGGGTTTCACCATGTTGGCCAGGCTGGTCTTGAACTTCTCACCTCAGATGATCCAACCACCTTGGTCTCCCAAAGTGCTGGGATTACAGGTGTGAGCTACCATGCCCGACAGATTTTGACTGAATTTCTGAACAATTTTTTTAGGAGATTAAAAGCTTTTTGTCCCCCTCTTAAGGATACATATACCCTCATGCTTGTGGCAATGTTGTTGTCTTCTTCCATAATAAAGAGAAGATGACATAGACACATCAATATCAGGTGCATTATATAATTCCTTAAAATGTTCTATAAATGAATTTTACACATGATATATAAAGCACATTTCTTTTCAGAATTTAAACACAATATTAAGTGTAACAATGTCTAATGAGGTGTATATGAGGAAACTATTTGACAAGAGTACTTTAAGAAGAATAACTGCAGAATATAAAACCTTCTAGAATAATGATTCTCAAAATAAAGTGTATGAAAATACCACTTGGGGAGCCAATGAAAATGTATATTACCAAGAGATGTCTGTAGATGTGAGTAACATTGGAAACCGTAATTCTAGCAAACATATTTAGCGATTCAAATGCGAGTAATGGTTGGACCGCAATAAGATCTATAAATTTAGTCCCCATAGAAAAATGAAGTGTCAGTCTCATTCTTCAGCCGCTTAACTACATTTGGAAATTACTTGGCTGAAATATATTAATGCTTATTATTTCATATATTAATTAGGTATTTACTAACTGCATGTGATGTACCGGACGTGTGCCTTTTAAAAAGAAGGAAAGACACAAAGTTTATGATTCTTCTCCACAAACTTCCTCAAAAGGAGTTCTATGGGCTATCTGCATATGAATTGTCAAGTGTTTTTATAAAATAACATTCAGGCCGGGCACAGTGGCTCACGCCTGTAATCCCAGCACTTTGGGAGGCTGAGGCGGGCAGATCACGAGGTCAGGAGTTCGAGACCAGCCTGGCCAATATGGTGAAACCCCGTCTCTACTAAAAATACAAAAAAATTAACTGGGCATGGTGGCACACAGCTGTAATCCCAGCTACTCGGGAGGCTGAGGCAGGAGAATTGCTTGAACCCGGGAGGTGGAGGTTGCAGTGAGCTGAGATTGCGCCACTGCACTTCAGCCTGGTTGACAGAGTGAGACTCCGTCTCAAAAAAATAAAATAAAATAAAATAAAATAAAATAAAATAAAATAAAATAAAATAAAATAAAATAATTGAAATTAAAATAAGATTTCAGGGTACCAACCAGAACCATTAAATAAAAGTTGATGACCATGGATCCCCAAATGTCTGCAATTTTTACGACCTTTATAGATGATGTTAATGTACCACAAGTCTGAAATCCACCCGCCCTGTTAGATCATATGGCAACAGAGTGTCAAAGACATTGGGTTAAATGAGTGGAAAAGTTCATCACAAAGGGCTGCAAGAATTATTATTATTATTATTATTATTATTATTATTATTATTATTAATTCAGAGAGATAAAATAACACCTATTAAACATTAAAATTACCACCAAGTTTAGATATTAAATGTGGAGTGAGAATGATAGGGTGAGATGGCATTAATTTAAAAAGAATTATTTATGATAATTCTTAGGTTTAGTCTTACATCTGGATGGTTGCCCAAGGGAACAATTAAAAATGGGCAAGATTGAAAAGGTGAAGACAAATGAAGATTGCCTGAGAAACAAATAAAACTTCAGCTCCTGGACCCTTTCAAATCCTAGGTATTCATATCCCCATATTCTTGTAAATATTCCATAAATAACATTATATATTTTTCTTCATTTTAAGGAGATTATCAAACTTTTATAAGCTTTATGCCCCCCAAAGCGGTATTCATAGCAGAACTGGAAAATAATGGTATCCAATTTATATGGTACCTGAGGGATTTCCAGCTTGCGTTGTCTTACAGCAAATTGTACGTACTTCACTACAAATTAGAGAATATATTTTCTTATTGCCTGGCCATTAAAAATAAGCAATATACAGTCACGAGAACACAATTGTTCCTCAAGATATTGCCCAACACTTTATATAATATGGCTTACACGGGTATCTAGAAGATAAATTATTCATAGAATTATCTTCTAGAAATTATCAAGAAACTGGTCTTTAAAAAAACTCATTTATTTCCTTGTATCAGTGAATGAGTATTAGTTAAACAAAATTTTCTTTTTCTTTTGTTTTCTCTGTTATTAAGTTCAAAAATGACTACAACTCTAAATTGCAATAATTATTCAGTTTACAGTAGTTGGCGCAGCTATCTCCTTCCTGATTACAGTTCATTTTTTATCCTTTTTATTGTCTACCTTGTATTTGTTGGGTTAAGTATCTTTTACAACTGGAGGGGATGAATCATGCGCCTGTGTTTTAAATATTTAAATATTTTCAGATATATGCCTAGAGCATTCAACTGAAAATATGTGCCCTCGGGTTTACCAGTTTTTGCACTTGCTGCTTCACTTAAAACTATCTGTCCTTTTAGTCATCTTATTAATGCACATTTATAATTTTGTCAAAGCATTAAAACTTATAGTTCTGTCTTGAGTAAAAAAAAAAAACACAGCATAATATTTGGTAAAGGTAAGTTCCTTGTAGATTATCTAGTTGAAAATGGACAAAATGAATATTGCAAGTAAAATAATTTTTAAAATTATAAATATCTATAGAAAAATATACATTTACTTTCTTGGGGAACATTGATAATACTATTATTCATCTTGTCCATCAGTTTTAAGGAAAATAGCTAGCCTTCTAACTGCATGTTTTGTAGAGATGAATGTCAAAGACCAGAGCAAAGGTCAATCCTATTGCCATGTAAATAGATGTTTCCTAGTTGTCATCTTGTTAAATAATTATGTTTAATGTCCATATCAACATATATTTAAAACCATGCCATTAAGTCATTTTGCTGTTATACAACCCATATCTTACCTTTTTTTCATGTCAGAAAAAGCCACTCTTAGACAGGTTTCAACTGAGTTTCTCCTACAATGACTACAAGGCTCATTTAAACCTGAGGTAAGACTAAGTCTTAAAATGGTTAGCAGATAGTAGCTTGCCACTCACATTCAATTTGACATATCAATATAGCATGGTTTAACATAGAAGGAGAATGTCTTTAATGTAATATATACTATAGATATCATTGTCCACAGGCATCAGAACAATGGTGTAACGCATTTCTTCCTGATTTGATCCTGCAGAAGGGCTACATGCATTTATCTCAGTTTGGTTCAAAGAGCAAAGAGAGTCATAGTGTAGCTTTGACATATTACACATCACCCAGAAATTCCAAATCAAAAGGTGCCATCAGAGAGCATAATACTGATCTTTGTTGTTGTTCTTAGGCACCCCATTTAACAATTTTTTTCTTTATGGTCAAAGAACTATCTCAAAAACCTAGCTTTGTTTCTTGTTAGATGAGGAGTGCTATTTACCACAAAGAGAAGCTCAGCGTAATAACCCTGAGTGACTTTATAGAATATTTGACATAAACTCTGCAGATAATCTACTGTAGGAGAGAATAGACTAAATAGGCTATTACACTAAAATGTAAGTGCTGCAATAGACGTGAGCACAGAGATCTATGACACCGAAATCTACATTGGTTAATGGGAAAAATCCATGGAGGTTCGTCAAACAATCCTTAAGAATGAATAGAAGTAAACACGGCAAAGAGTTCAAGCATTCTAGAGTATACCACATAAGTAAAACAACAGAGTGTCATCAGCCTGATAAGGCTCTTCTGTGAATTTTATTTGAGATAGGTAATTGGATGTGCACATGTCACTCTAGTTTTTTGCTATTTAATAACTGGACATTAGTGAATATAGTGTAAGGTAGAAGTTTAAAGTCAGAACTAAGAAGCACAGCTACGATATTTAATAACATTGGGAGTATGTGAAATTATTTCATGACCATATTCTAATAAATAAAATCGGAATAATAATACCTTCATCAGTAATTTGGCATGAAAAGACATTTAAAACATCAAGTGCCATGTGATTATGTGATGAGTGGACTATAAATATACCCCCTTTATCATTACACAATAATTGCAGCACACTTTATATAGCAAAATACTGTCTACCAAATAAAAGCGAAGATATTTTTGATTAAGATAATACTAATAATTCATATATGCATGTGTCCATGCTTCTGATATAAATTATGTTTAAGTTTCTTCTTCATAATTTCTTTCTTAGTAGAAACTCTCTTAATCCTTTTTAACATTAATGCCTCCCTCCATATGTGTGATTTTAGAATATTGATTGGGTATAAGCAAACATTTCTTATGATAATTTTTAAGTTGTAGGTCAGATACAGTCATTCTGTTTGGCTAATATCCCATTGTGTATACTCAATGGCTGCTACATAAAAATATGTAAACTCATCATGGAAAGCATACTATAACGAACAATAATGAGTGACAATATTTTATATTTCATACATAATAGCCATTTCCATATGAGCGCATGGGTCTGTAAAAGATGCTTTTCTTCAACCACATAGGAGATAACATCTAGAAATTCTGGTTCTGAAATGGATGTCATGATTTTTAGCTTCTGCACTCCATCTGACCACTCTAAACAAAACTGGACCATCTGCTGTGGCTTGTTAGTATACAGCCATCACATTGATCCTTTCCAGACACACAGGCTTTCAATTACAATTCATCCCAAAATTACGAGGGTCTGTCATTGTATGCATAGTTTTTGTTGCTATGGTTGAGCTTTCCTATCAAACTGACTCACCTTTTCATGGTCTAATGACCTTTTTTGAAGAAAACACACATTGAGATAACACTTCTGATTAATATGGTATAGTATAAAAAATATTTTAACATATTTTTCTGTACCTAAATATAAATATATGAAATATGTTTAAGTATTAGTAAATACTAGGAAATTTCTGATACATTGTATAAGCAGATACTTAATTGTGTAATGCCATCAACCAAAAATAAAGTATATAGGGATAAACTAATCTCTAAGCTAAGTTTTTTTTTACACTCAAGAATGCATTATTTTTAAAGGCTAATTTTGAACATATTACAGCCAATTTGGCAATACCTTTAAACCATCCAAGAAAAATTTTAATTCCCAACTAAACAACCTTGCCTAATAAGAAAAATACATGATGTTGTTAAAAAGTTATTTTCAGTTTCATAAACTACTAAAAACACCTGTGACTCCTCAAATGAAAAAATCATGATTTTCACTCATCATTCATATATACTATTCTCTATTACAAAGAAAAGCAATTTCATTAGCAATTACTGGCCAAAAGCAATTACTGGTAAAAAAAATTAAAATATTATAACAATAGCTATAATTTATTGAGTTCTTACTCTGCTCCAGACATTGTACCATGTATTTAACGCATGTTAACGAATTTGTACCTCAAAACAACAGTATGATTTGGATATTTCATTATCTTGATTTTACAGATAAGGTATTTGAGCCATAAAATTAAATACTTTTCCTAATTTCATATTGCTTACCATTGTGCTAATTGTCAGAGATAGAATTCACAATCAGAAAACCAAGCTCCAAAACCCATATTCTTTTCTGCTATACCATCTACAATTATAAATTATATTACAATGACACTACATAATTATTAGCTATTATTAATAATTGCTAATTATTAACTATTAATTTTAAATTATAAGATGTGTCAAAATCAATTTTATTCTGAGGTCAATTTTTTTTATGGTTTAGTGATAATATGCCAACACTGACACCATAGGCATATATTAAATAAATGTTTTTAATTTCATATTGATTCAAACAAGATCACAACACAGTAATAAAGTGATTTACAGATTTTGGTTCTTTTCTTAATTACTTTTTAATTTTTCTGAGCCTTTATGAGGAAAATTTTCTAAAAATATACTGTGCATAATTTGAACATTATCTGCTCATTCATGACTAAAACTAAGCCCTTTATCCTCAAAACTAGCTTCTTTCTAGAAATTTCCATTTTGTCACTGTTAACAGTTTTTCTGAAACCTCCATTTGTAATCTTGCAGTGAGTTCCCAGAATGGGAGCACAGTGAGAAGATATGACTTGATTATTTTTAAAAAATCAAAAACCAATAAATGTTGGTGTGGATTTGGAGAAAAGGTAATTATATACTACTTATATGCTCATATGCTTATATACTGCTAGTGGGAATGTAAATTGGTATAACCTATATAGAAACCAAAATGGAGATTTCTCAAAGAACTACAAGTATTTCTACCATTCCATCTAGCAATTTCACTACTGGGCATCTACTGAAAGAAAAAGAAATCATTTTATCAAAAAGACACCTGCATGTGTATGATTATTGCAGCACAATTCACAATTGCAAGGATGTGGTACCAACCTAAGTACTCTTCAACCAATGAATGGATTAAAAAAAGAAAATATGGTATGGAATACTACTCAGCCATAAAAAATGAAATAATATCTTTTGCAGAAACTGGGATGGAACTGGAGGCCATTATTCTATGTGAAGTAACTGCAGAATGGAAAACCAAATTTAGAAGTGAGAGCTAAGCTTGGGTATAGAAAGGCATACAGAGTGGTATAATGGACATTAGAGACTCAGAAGACGGGAGGGTCAGAGAGGGGTGAGGGAGAAAAACTACATATTGGATACAATGTACACTACTCACTTGGATGATGAGAGCACTATAATTTCAGACTTTTCCGCTCTACAATTCATTCACGTAATTGAAAACAACTTGTATCCCTAAAGCTACTGAAACAGAGAAAAATAGAAATAAAAAATTATACTGCCATAAAAAATATATTCCTTGAGTTAAATACAACACACTTTTTCTCAATAGATTACAGGAAAGTGAAAATGTGCCAATATGAATCACTTTTAGAAATAGGAATAGAAGATTAGGAAATTACACTAATAGTCTTGATTTTTCTTAGCAAATTTGGAAGCCTAGTTTTATATTGAGAGAGAAAAAAGTGGATTTGAATTAGTCATTGTAGCAGAAAGAAATAGGTATGAGCAGAATCAGGTAAAATGATATGATAAGAGTATCGACAGCTCAGATGAGCTCAGAGACCATGGCCTGATAGTGGTGCTAAGTATTCTGTCCAGCCATGCTGAGCAGCCTAGTTACAGAAGAAGAGAGGACATATATGTTCTCTTGGATTCCATGCGTAATCCAAGGTTGAAGATTTGTAAGGTAAGAACTTCAAGGGAACAAGGGACCTAGGAATTGAAGGTGCTGACAGTAAGTGGTTGAAATTATGAACTATGAGGCCGAAGAATCCAAGGTTCTAGGCTGTGCAAATGGATAAAATTATACTAACAAGTAGGGTTTGGTAGAAAAGAGTCTGGGTTTCTAAATAGCGTAAAACAAAGCATAAGGAAATGAGATTTGCTATGGTGAAAATAGATTCAAAGTACACATAGTTCAGGGAAATTACAAGATTTGAGGTCTGGTCACGAGAGTCAGCTGAAGTGAATTCTGTATTTGTCAAAAGTTCAGACATATTCAGGGAGGCGTGGTGGCTCACACCTGTAATCCCAGCACTTTGCAGGGCCAAGGCAGGTGGATCACTTGAGGTCAGGAGTTTGAGACCAACGTGGCCAGCATGGCGAAACCCCGTCTCTACTAAAAATACAAAAATTGGCTGGTTGTGGTGGCATGCACCTGTAATTCCAGCTACTTGGGAGGCTGAAGCAGGAGAATAGCTGGAACCTGCGAGGCAGATGTTGCAGTGAGCTGAGATCACACCACTGCACTCCAGCCTGGGTGACAGAATGATGCTCTGAAAAAAAAAAGAAAAAGAAAGAAGGAAGAAAGAGAAGAAAGAAAGAAGAAAGAGAAGAAAGAGAAGAAAGAAAAAGAAAGAAAGAAAGAAAGAAAGAAAGAAAGAAAGAAAGAAAGAAAGAGAGAGAGAGAGGGAGGGAGGGAGGGAAGGAGGGTGGAAGGGAAGGACGGAAGGAAGAAAGAGAAAGGAAGAAAGGAAGAAAAGAGGAAGGGAGGGAAGGAAGGAAGAAAGAAAGAGAAAGAAGAAAGGAAGAAGGAAAGAAAGAAGGAAATAAAGAAGAAAGAAAAGAAAGAAATATTCAGTTCAGAGTTATTTGCTGGATTCATTACATGGATATCCACGTTGTCCAAGGTGGCATCAGAACTTGCAACGGAAAGAACGTCAGTGAAGCCCGTGATCAGTGACCGCAAGAACGTGGTCAGAATGTCATGTGACTATTACAAGGGAGACTTTTTACCTGCATGGCAGAACTCTTGGAGGAGAAAGGTTTTGCACATACATGTGGAAAAGGAGAAGTCTAGGTTTATAGGAGAATATTAATGCTGACCTCTTGTTCCAATGGCATAAAATATACAGGAGCAAATAGTTCCACTTCAGGAGGGTGGCATCCTTGGGTAAGAACCTGACTTCAGTGAAGAACAGTGGTTAAAGGCAACAGCCTTTGTAAAGGCTACAGTTGTAGAATTGTTCTTTTAGTTCTAACGCAACACAGATTTTAACAAGTGCAATAGAGAATTTTGTGAAATAATTTTGGGAAGAAAGTGTGAAAATTAGTGAAGACAAATAGTTGTGTAAATACGTACTACCCTGGATGGTTGTATTAGTTTGTTTTCACGCTGCTGACAAAGACATACTCGAGAGTGGGCAATTTACAAAAGAAAGAAGTTTATTCGATGAAGAGGTTATAGAGTTCTAGGTGGCTGGTGAGGCCTCACAATCATGGCAGAAGGTGAAAGGCACACAGGAGCAAGTCACATCTTACATGGATGGTAGCAGGGAAAAAGAGAGTTTGTGTCGGGGAACTCCTCTTTCTAAAACCATCAGATCTCGTGAGACTCATTCACTATCACGAGAACAGTGCAGGGAAGACCCACCCCATAATTCAATCACCTCACACCAGGTTCCTCCCATGACAAGTGGGAATTGTGAGAGTTAAAATTCAAGATGAGATTTGGGTGGGGACACAGCCAAACCATATCAATGGTCTTGCATTTTAGTAGTGGCAAAAGAAGTGAGGAGATCTATATTTGATCTAAAATTCTGCAATAAATTTTTACTTGATTGTTCAACACATAGATCTCAAGGAGTTATGAATCTACACTGGTTAGTGTCTGATTCACTCAATTTGGTTTTTAATTACAGAATTATAGTGATCCAGTAATTTAAAGGTGTAAACATACATTTGCCAATATGTCTGCTTACATCTTTAAACTAATAGATCACAATAATTCTGTAGTTCATGTTCATGATTAATTTTATCCAATTAAATCCTGTGTATTCAATTGAATGCTGGTTAATATTTTTCATTAAATTTCTAATAAAAATTCACAAATTCTTGTAATTTCTAAAGTGCATTTCGAAAATGGTAAACATTGCCCTTCACTTAACTATAATGATTTCCATGTTTCATTTTTGTTTTTATTAAAAGAATAAAAGATCTTATCCAAAATCAAGTATCATACCCACTAAGCACAGATGTATCTTTCTAACATTCCCTAAATTCTCAATGTTAATCACATGATAGGGAAAAATGACCAAAATACTAAATTTCTACAATCACGTCACCTATAATGTTAAGTCAATCCTGTTGTCTTGTATCTCAATAAATATATATCTGAGAAATTACAGAACACATCGGTTTTATCAACTCCGTTTTCTCTGAGCCTGATCTTTGTTCTGACTTTTATTCTATAAGGATATGAATAAAACTTTTTAACACAACTAGAGTGACCCCAAACCCTTCTTCCTGTATCAGTCCATGAGAAGGGAATATGAAAATAGATTTCAAGAAATCTAGCACATCAAGAAAAAATAGATTTTGTTCTAACACTTTATTATAATATTTTTAAACATACAGCAATGTTAAAAGAATTTACGGTGAACAGCCATTACCTAGATTTCAAAATTAACATTTTTCTATAAATGCTTTATCAAATAGACTTTATTCTATCCAGTTACTAATACGTCTTATTTTTGGTGCACTTCAAAGTTGCAGACATCACTAAACTTTCCCTTAATCTCTCAGCATGTGCATAATTAACTAAAGCTCCTTGGCTTAAGTGCTTTCTTGGCCCATATTAAAGCTACTTGTGAGCCAAAGACACGGTGTGTGTGTGTGTGTGTGTGTGTGTATCGCAAAAACGCTCTATAGATACCTAGTGCTGTGCTTGATACCCTACCTATGAGCTTATATGTATTACACGTGTTAAACAACTTCAGTTCCCAATCCTAACAATTAATCTAAACAGACCATTTAGTTACTAAGTTTTTTGAAACCTTTTTTAAAACACTTAAACTTATTTTTGATGCCATACATATGGGTTCATATTTTATAATTAAAGACTGCTTTAAGCAGTATGTTCTCATGCGTTTTTGTTTCAGGTGATGTATTTTATTTCAGATTATTCTATTCCCCCTAAATTACATAGCACCTGAAGAAAGCAGACTTCCTGCTGGCGTATTAAGACAAAGGCTAAATGCACTGACCCTTATTAGACATGACCTAATATTGTGTGAGTACAGTCCCTCATCCTGTGACAGAAAATGATTTATTTTTTGCAATCAAGGTTGTATTTAATTTCAAAATCCATTAATGATCTTATTAATCAACGCGTTACTATTTTGAATAATTTATGTAATAATGCAATGGCACAAGGAGAATAAAATGGCAAGTCCTGTATTTGTCAGGTACACTCACTGAAGTTGTTCTGAGGCCAGATTTTGTGAGTTGAGTCATATTCAAATTATTGGATGGCTAGTTATAAAATCACTGACCAATTAGAATAAGCTGCAGCTTATAAAACTCACGCAGAGTCAGTCCTCTAACGTTTTACCTCCTGGATGATAAACAGGTCTGGGTTACACGGGGGATGCAGCAGGTCTGCAAGGATGGCAGGAGACCACCCCAGGTTCCGAGCAGGCTACAACCTGACAAATACAACAGCATCCAACATTTAAGCAACTGCTCCAGCTCTCCTGGTGTGTATGGCCTGAATGTTAGGCCCATTGTTTAGATGAAAATCTAAATAGGATGCTTTGTACTGCAAATGTTCTTTCATTCGAGTTCAGGGGCAATGCCAAAGAAAAAGTTGTCTTCTCACTATTTTTAATTATATGCTGGACTTTTGTATTTTTAAAATGTCATTGCACTTTCTGCTCTTAGGGACACTGCTCTTTCCTCTAGAGCAGGAAACGTGAAATAAGTTAGCCAAATTACTGAATGCTGAAATAAAGATAGATCAGTGAGGAGAGACAAAGTAATTAGAGGATGAAAGGAAAATAGATGAAGGAACGTCAGTTAATCGTGGCATTGTTGTTATAATCTTAGTATTTTCTATTGCAATCCATTAAAAATAAGGAGCAGTTCATTAAAGGAAACAGAAGGCATAGGGATTATCTCAGTAAAACACAAGGCTACTAAAGTAGTATTCTCTAGAAATGAGAATTTTCAACTCTTCATGTACCATAATGTTTACTAACGAGAAGTTTTCTTTCATGATAGCTCCAGCTAATAGCACCAAATAAACTCTGATTGCTTTCACTGCCCTTTGGAAGGTAAATCCTTTATGTGTGTGTGTATATATATATGCACACATATATATATATACACACATATATATACACACACATATATATATCATCCTAATTGTACACACACATATATATGCACAAATAATTATTCTAGTGTTATTTGAATAATTAACTATTTCATATTTCAAACTTTATTTTGTGGAGTTCAGACGGGTTCTGAAATACCGAAAACTGAAAAAAAAAAACAAAAAATCCCAATCACATCAGCAAAAAAAAAAACATAATAATAAACAAATAAAAAGTGTCACCTAAGAATTTCAAAGTGAAAGATTGTTTTAAGAAAATCAAACATATTATACATATTCTAGTATATATGTGTGTATATATATATATATATACATATATATATGCATGTATACACATGTGCAGTAGAGATCAAAGGAAATACAAATGATTATGATTTTACCAAAGATAAAGATACACAGACGAAGAGAGAGACTCCTGGGGAGCGAATGTTGGCGGGAGCAGATCCTAGCGGTACTAATGTGCAGAAGGAGGTGCCTCTACTGAATCTATGACGTCTTTCTTCGTCAGACCTGACTACAGTTCTATCTCTCCTAAGCCTATGTACACACTATCTGCACTTTTCCTTTCAAAATGACTTACTTGGAGCCATTTGATGTACTAGATTGTTAAGATACGAAGAAAATAATGTTTAAGAATAAATTTCAGAAGTCAAGTTTTAAAATGGTAGAGACAGACCTGTATGAAGGTAAGCTTAGGATATACAACTATTATATATCTCCATTTCCAAAAATCTTCTGAGAGTCAACCACACAGGATTTAAATGACAAATATTAGCGTAGTCTCTATTTTAGAGATGCAGGGAGGAAGTAGATTCTGTTTGAGAGATGGAACTTGAGGATGAGTACAGATTCAGGAAAAAAATGTGCTAAGAATTATGAGATGAGTCTCACAGTGAGCCCTGCTGCCTGAATGCTGATAGATTAAGAAATAGGACAAATGGCAAATAGCCTGGAGAAAAACTAAGTGAAAGAGATCTTAGTGATGGGAAATATACCTTTATTTCTTCAGAACTTCTCTCACCTGCATCCATATCAGAACTGTGTATAAAACTTCAGATTCTCTTAACTGTGTCCTAGGCAGCCACTCAGCCCGTCAGCTGGAATTGGCACAGGAGTTGGACCATATGTGCAAACTCTCGTCTGGGTAAATATGTAGAGGCAAAGAGCAGCACATGGTGGCAAGGGTGTTCGACTACATTAATGTGAATGTTATTTCAAATATTTATTATTTAAATAATTGTATATTATAATAATGCAATTAATGTAATGAGAAATTGCCTAGGCCAAGGAAAATCTAAATTTCATTGACTCCATAAGAATATAACTATCTAAAATATATGTAATGTGATATAGTGGAGACAGCATCAGGAAGAATGCATAATCATTTTTTATTTACATCATAATTTATTCTTATTAATAAAGTATCATATTTACATTACCTCAGCAAAACATAAGCCTACTGAAGTGATGTTATCCAGAAAGGAGAATGTTCAACTCTTCATGTGCCATAAGGTTTACACACAAGCAACTTTCTTTCATAATTTGTTTAGCTAATAGCACCAATTAAACTCTGTTTAATTGATGAATTAGCTGAACCCTCTAGCCTGTCTGCCAGAAGCAAATTTTAATTTTCACTAGAAGGTGTTAATAGCATTAAGAGCCTCAACATAGCTCTGTATATTTTAATATGTAATGTATGGTACAAATGTGTAAATACATACAAGAAGATAATATATAGCATAGACAAAATAACCCAGAAAATATAAAAAGTAACACAGGAAATGAACATAACTAAGTTACAAAACATAGATTTAAAAATAAACAGAAATCAACAGAAGTAAAAGACAAAATAGAGAAATTTGTCAGAGGAGGAGCCAAGATGACCGAATAGGAACAGCTCCGGTCTACAGGTCCCTGCGTGAGCTACGCAGAAGACGGGTGATTTCTGCATTTCCATCTGAGGTACCGGGTTCATCTCACTAGGGAGTGCCAGACAGTGGTCGCAGGTCAATGGGTGCGCGCACTGTGCGCGAGCCGAAGCAGGGCGAGGCATTGCCTCACTCGGGAAGCGCAAGGGGTCAGGGAGTTCCCTTTCCAAGTCAAAGAAAGGGGTGACGGATGCACCTAGAAAATCGGGTCACTCCCACCCGAATATTGCGCTTTTCGGACCGGCTTAAAAAACGGCGCACCACGAGATTATATCCCGCACCTGGCTCAGAGGGTCCTACGCCCACAGAGTCTCGCTGATTGCTAGCACAGCAGTCTGAGATCAAACTGCAAGGCGGCAGCGAGGCTGGGGGAGGGGCGCCCGCCATTGCCCAGGCTTCCTTAGGTAAACAAAGCAGCCCGGAAGCTCGAACTGGGTGGGGCCCACCACAGCTCAAGGAGGCCTGCCTGCCTCTGTAGGCTCCACCTCTGGGGGCAGGGCACAGACAAACAAAAAGACAGCAGTAACCTCTGCAGACTTAAATGTCCCTGTCTGACAGCTTTGAAGAGAGCAGTGGTTCTCCCAGCACGCAGCTGGAGATCTGAGAACGGGCAGACTGCCTCCTCAAGTGGGTGGCTGACCCCTGACCCCAGAGCAGCCTAACTGGGAGGCACCCCCCAGCAGGGGCACACTGACACCTCACACGGCAGGGTATTCCAACAGACCTGCAGCTGAGGGTCCTGTCTGTTAGAAGGAAAACTAACAAACAGAAAGGACATCCACACCAAAAACTCATCTGTACATCACCATCATCAAAGACCAAAAGTAGATAAAACCACAAAGATGAGGAAAAAAACAGAACAGAAAAACTGGAAACTCTAAAACGCAGAGCGCCTCTCCTCCTCCAAAGGAACGCAGTTCCTCACCAGCAACGGAACAAAGCTGGATGGAGAATGACTTTGACGAGCTGAGAGAAGAAGGCTTCAGACGATCAAATTACTCTGAGCTATGGGAGGACATTCAAACCAAAGGCAAAGAAGGTGGAAACTTTGAAAAAAATTTAGAAGAATGTATAACTAGAATAACCAATACAGAGAAGGGCTTAAAGGAGCTGATGGAGCTGAAAACCAAGGCTCGAGAACTACATGAAGAATGCAGAAGCCACAGGAGCCGATGCAATCAACTGGAAGAAAGGGTATCAGCGATGGAAGATGAAATGAATGAAATGAAGCGAGAAGGGAAGTTTAGAGAAAAAAGAATAAAAAGAAATGAGCAAAGCCTCCAAGAAATATGGGACTATGAGAAAAGACCAAATCTACGTCTGATTGATGTACCTGAAAGTGAAGGGGAGAATGCAACCAAGTTGGAAAACACTCTGCAGGATATTATCCAGGAGAACTTCCCCAATATAGTAAGGCAGGCCAACGTTCAGATTCAGGAAATACAGAGAACGCCACAAAGATTCTCCTCGAGAAGAGCAACTCCAAGACACATAATTGTCAGATTCAACAAAGTTGAAATGAAGGAAAAAATGTTAAGGGCAGCCAGAGAGAAAGGTCGGTTTACCCTCAAAGGGAAGCCCATCAGACTAACAGCGGATCTCTTGGCAGAAACCCTACAAGCCAGAAGAGAGTGGGGGCCAATATTCAACATTCTTAAAGAAAATAATTTTCAACCCAGAATTTCATATCCAGCCAAACTAAGCTTCATAAGTGAAGGAGAAATAAAATACTTTACACACAAGCAAATGCTGAGAGATTTTGTCACCACAAGGCCTGCCCTAAAAGAGCTCCTGAAGGAAGCCCTAAACATGGAAAGAAACAACCGGTACCAGCCGCTGCAAAATCATGCCAAAATGTAAAGTCCATCGAGACTAGGAAGAAACTGCATCAACTAACGAGCAAAATAACCAGCTAACATCATAATGACAGGATGAAATTCACACATAACAATATTAACTTTAAATGTAAATGGACTAAATACTCCAATTAAAAGACACAAACTGGCAAATTGGATAAAGAGTCAAGACCCATCAATGTGCTGTATTCAGGAAACCCATCTCACGTGCAGAGACACACATAGGCTCAAAATAAAAGGATGGAGGAAGATCTACCAAGCAAATGGAAAACAAAAAAAGGCAGGGGTTGCAATCCTAGTCTCTGATAAAACAGACTTTAAACCAACAAAGATCAAAAGAGACAAAGAAGGCCATTACATAATGGTAAAGGGATCAAATTCAACAAGAAGAGCTAACTATCCTAAATATATATGCACCCAATACAGGAGCACCCAGATTCATAAAGCAAGTCCTGAGTGACTTACAAAGAGACTTAGACTCCCACACATTAATAATGGGAGACTTTAACACCCCACTGTCAACATTAGACAGATCAACGAGACAGAAAGTCAACAAGGATACCCAGGAATTGAACTCAGCTCTGCACCAAGCGGACCTAATAGACATCTACAGAACTCTCCACCCCAAATCAACAGAATATACATTTTTTTCAGCACCACACCACACCTATTCCAAAATTGACCACATACTTGGAAGTAAAGCTCTCCTCAGCAAATGTAAAAGAACAGAAATTATAACAAACTATCTCTCGGACCACAGTGCAATCAAACTAGAACTCAGGATTAAGAATCTCACTCAAAACCACTCAACTACATGGAAACTGAACAACCTGCTCCTGAATGACTACTGGGTACATAACGAAATGAAGGCAGAAATAAAGATGTTCTTTGAAACCAACGAGAACAAAGACACAACATACCAGAATCTCTGGGACGCATTCAAAGCAGTGTGTAGAGGGAAATTTATAGCACTAAATGCCCACAAGAGAAAGCAGGAAAGATCCAAAATTGACACCCTAACATCACAATTAAAAGAACTAGAAAAGCAAGAGCAAACACATTCAAAAGCTAGCAGCAGGCAAGAAATAACCAAAATCAGAGCAGAACTGAAGGAAATAGAGACACAAAAAACCCTTCAAAAAATTAATGAATCCAGAAGCTGGTTTTTTGAAAGGATCAACAAAATTGATAGACTGCTAGCAAGAATAATAAAGAAAAAAAGAGAGAAGAATCAAATAGACACAATAAAAAATGATAAAGGGGATATCACCACCGATCCCACAGAAATACAAACTACCATCAGAGAATACTACAAACACCTCTACGCAAATAAACTAGAAAATCTAGAAGAAATGGATAAATTCCTCGACACATACACTCTCCCAAGACTAAACCAGGAAGAAGTTGAATCTCTGAATAGACCAATAACAGGATCTGAAATTGTGGCAATAATCAATAGTTTACCAACCAAAAAGAGTCCAGGACCAGATGGATTCACAGCTGAATTCTACCAGAGGTACAAGGAGGAACTGGTACCATTCCTTCTGAAACTATTCCAATCAATAGAAAAAGAGGGAATCCTCCCTAACTCATTTTATGAGGCCAGCATCATTCTGATACCAAAGCCGGGCAGAGACACAACTAAAAAAGAGAATTTTAGACCAATATCCTTGATGAATATTGATGCAAACATCCTCAATAAAATACTGGCAAACCGAATCCAGCAGCACATCAAAAAGCTTATCCACCATGATCAAGTGGGCTTCATCCCTGGGATGCAAGGCTGGTTCAATATACGCAAATCAATAAATGTAATCCAGCATATAAACAGAGCCAAAGACAAAAACCACATGATTATCTCAATAGATGCAGAAAAAGCCTTTGACAAAATTCAACAACCCTTCATGCTAAAAACTCTCAATAAATTAGGTATTGATGGGACGTATTTCAAAATAATAAGAGCTATCTATGACAAACCCACAGCCAATATCATACTGAATGGGCAAAAACTGGAAGCATTCCCTTTGAAAACTGGCACAAGACAGGGATGCCCTCTCTCACCACTCCTATTCAACATAGTGTTGGAAGTTCTGGCCAGGGCAATTAGGCAGGAGAAGGAAATAAAGGGTATTCAATTAGGAAAAGAGGAAGTCAAATTGTCCCTGTTTGCAGACGACATGATTGTATATCTAGAAAACCCCATTGTCTCAGCCCAAAATCTCCTTAAGCTGATAAGCAACTTCAGCAAAGTCTCAGGATACAAAATCAATGTGCAAAAATCACAAGCATTCTTATACACCAATAACAGACAAACAGAGAGCCAAATCACGAGTGAACTCCCATTCACAATTGCTTCAAAGAGAATAAAATACCTAGGAATCCAACTTACAAGGGACGTGAAGGACCTGTTCAAGGAGAACTACAAACCACTGCTCAAGGAAGTAAAAGAGGATACAAACAAATGGAAGAACATTCCATGCTCATGGGTAGGAAGAATCAATATGGTGAAAATGGCCATACTGCCCAAGGTAATTTACAGATTCAATGCCATCCCCATCAAGCTACCAATGACTTTCTTCACAGAATTGGAAAAAACTACTTTAAAGTTCATATGGAACCAAAAAAGAGCCTGCATCGCCAAGGCAATCCTAAGCCAAAAGAACAAAGCTGGAGGCATCACACTACCTGACTTCAAACTATACTACAAGGCTACAGTAACCAAAACAGCATGGTACTGGTACCAAAACAGAGATATAGATCAATGGAACAGAACAGAGCCTGCAGAAATAATGCCACATATCTACAACTATCTGATCTTTGACAAACCTGAGAAAAGCAAGCAATGGGGAAAGGATTCCCTATTTAATAAATGGTGCTGGGAAAACTGGCTAGCCATATGTAGAAAGCTGAAACTGGATCCCTTCCTTACACCTTATACAAAAATCAATTCAAGATGGATTAAAGACTTAAATGTTAGACCTAAAACCATAAAAACCCTAGAAGAAAACATAGGCATTACCATTCAGGACATAGGCGTGGGCAAGGACTTCATGTCCAAAACACCAAAAGCAATGTCAACAAAAGACAAAATTGACAAATGGGATCTAATTAAACTAAAGAGCTTCTGCACAGCAAAAGAAACTACCATCAGAGTGAACAGGCTACCTACAAAATGGGAGAAAATTTTCACAACCTACTCATCTGACAAAGGGCTAATATCCAGAATCTACAATGAACTCAAACAAATTTACAAGAAAAAAAAAACAACCCCATCAAAAAGTGGGCGAAGGACATGAACAGACACCTCTCAAAAGAAGACATTTATGCAGCCAAAAAACACATGAAAAAATGCTCATCTTCACTGGTCATCAGAGAAATGCAAATCAAAACCACAATGAGATACCATCTCACACCAGTTAGAATGGCGATCATTAAAAAGTCAGGAAACAACAGGTGCTGGAGAAGATGTGGAGAAATAGAAACACTTTTACACTGTTGGTGGGACTATAAACTAGTTCAACCATTGTGGAAGTCAGTGTGGCGATTCCTCAGGGATCTAGAACTAGAAATACCATTTGACCCAGCCATTCCTTTACTGGGTATATACCCGAAGGACTATAAATCATGCTGCTATAAAGACACATGCACAGCTATGTTTATTGTGGCATTATTCACAATAGCAAAGACTTGGAACCAACCCAAATGTCCAACTATGATAGACTAGATTAAGAAAATGTGGCACATATACACCATGGAATACTATGCAGCCATAAAAAATGATGAGTTCATTTCCTTTGTAGGGACATGGATGAAATTGGAAATCATCATTCTCAGTAAACTATCGCCAGAACAAAAAACCAAACACCGCATATTGTCACTCATAGGTGGGAATTGAACAATGAGATCACATGGACACAGGAAGGGGAATATCACACTCTGGGGACTGTGGTGGGGTGGGGGGAGGGGGGAGGGTTAGCATTGGGAGATATACCTAATGCTAGATGACGAGTTAGTGGGTGCAGCACACCGGCATGGCACATGTATACGTATGTAACTAACCTGCACAATGTGCACATGTACCCTAAAACTTAAAGTATAATTTAAAAAAAAAAAAAAAAGAAATTTGTCACAGAACTAGAAACTGTAAAGGCAATTTTAGAGCAATTAATATGCAGTAACAAGTTAAGAAATCACAGTCAGAGTTTAATGGCAGACAAGACACAATCCAAGAAATTATTATCAAACTACAAGATAGATTCAAATAAAATATGTAAATAGAAACAGCACAACAAAAAGAGCAAATTTTCAAACGTGTAAAAGACATATAGGATTGCATGATGAAGTCTAACATAAGTGTTACTGGAGTGTTAGAAAGAAAAAAGGCAGAAGCTTCTAGAATAAGAAGAGTGTCCCATAAATATATACACCAACTATATACCAATAAAAATTAAAAACACAAAATAAAGAAGTCATACCTTCAAATGAACAACAGTATATTTAACAGCTGAAATTCCAACCAAAAAATTGGGAGGGGCTGTTCACAGTGGCTCACACCTGTAATGCCAGCACTTTGGGAGGCCAGGGTAGGCAGATCACTTGAGATCAGGAGTTTGAGACCAGCCTGATCCACATGATGAAATCTCCGTTCCTATTAAAAATTTTAAAAATTATCTGGGCATGGTGGTACATGCCTATAATCCCAGCTATTCGGGAGGCTAAGGTGGGATAATCACTTGAACCCAGGAAGCAGAGGTTGCAGTGAGCCGAGATTGCACCATTGCACTCCAGCCTGGGTGACAAAAGCGACTGCTTCTCAAAAAAATAAAACAAAAATTTAAACAAAGAATTAGAAGCTAGAAAACAAGGGAATGACTATCTTTACGATGTTAAAATAACTATCAACCTCAAATTTTAAACACACACGTACTACAAGAATAAAGTGGGATGAAATGATCATTTTAGACCAGAAAAGAAAAGCTTAAAGAATCTGTCACCAGTAGAAACATACCACAAAAACGCTGGAAGATACTCTTCAGGAAGAAGATGATCATGCAGATGCTTTGCTAACATTTTCCAGTTTATAGGTGGTGTATTATCTTGTATATAGTGTATGTGTGTGTATATCTATGTCTCTATCTACACACAAAGCTCCCTTAATTGAGCTTAGTATGTTTTTTTCTGGGTGCTTTCATGATCTGGGTAACTGAGATGTAGCTAGGTTTACAGTAGTGCTAACATTATTTTGTGGTTTGTCTTTGTTTTTAGCTATTCATTTTAACATGGCGGGCAAAAGGCAAAGCTTCAAGTGTTTTGGTTCAGCCTGAACTGAAATGGTTTTAATGAAGTGGTGTGGCTGATCCTCAATGATTGGGGGAATGTGTTCAGTTACAGCATTTAGGCAACTAAAACGATTCCCATATAAATGAATACCCATTCATTTATTTAACATATGTTTTATTGACTACCACCCATTAGATTGGTTATTTTAAGTAATATAGATACATTAATAAACAGACAGAAAATAACTCCCGTCTTCATGAAGTTTAAATTATCTTTGGGGAAACACATAAACTTACAATATTTCTAATAAGTAATATCGTAAGTCAGGATGATAAGTTTTATGGAGAGATGAAACAGAAAAGGGAATTAGGAGATGTGGGCACATGTGTGGAGTTGTGATTTAATAAGCATATTTGGAGAAGACCTCGCTGAGAATGTGACATGCATCAGAAACTTAAAGGAAAAGAGAACAGACCATAAAATATAAGTGTTACTTCACTTAGAATAGTGGTCTCCAATTCCATCCAGGTTGAATGGGAAACCAAACACTGTTATGTTCTCACTCATAAGCGGGAGCTAAGCTATGAGGAAACAAAGGCATAAGAATGACACAATGGACTTTGGGAACTTGGGGGAAAGGGTGGGAGGGGGATGAGGAATAAAAGACTACACATTAGGCACAGTCTACACTGCTTGGGTGACAGGTGCATCACAATCTTAGAAGTCACCATTAAAGGCTGGGTGCGGTGGCTCACGCCTGTAATTCCAGCACTGTGGGAGGACAAGGCAGGTGAATCATTTGAGCTCAGGAGTTCGAGACCAGACTGACCAACATGGTGAAACCCCATCTTTACTAAAATACAGAAATTAGCCAGGCATGGTGGCTGGCACCTGTAATCTCAGCTACTTGGGAGGCTGAGGCAAGAGAGTTGCTTGAACCCAGGAGGTGGAGGTTGCAGTGAGCCCAAGATCACGCCACTGCACTCCAGCCTGGGCAACAGAGTGAGACTCCCTCTTGGGAAAAAAAAAAAAAGCACCACTAAAAAACTTATTCATGTAACCAAACACTGCCTGGTCCCCAAAAACCTACTGACATAATAAAAAAAAAAAAGAACATATAAAGAGAGTGGGTTCCAGAGAAAATGGTTCTTACAGCCCTTATAAAGATTTGGCTTTAATCTTTATAGAGATTTATATCTTTATAGAGATTTTAATCTTTATAGAGATTTATATCTTTATAGAGATTTTAATCTTTATAAATATTTGGCTTTAACCTCGTGGAAAGTCAGAAGCAATTGTAAAGTTTTGAACAAAGAAGTGACAAGGTGACTTTCATTTAGATAAGCTGTGTTCAGAACAGACTGGCAAAGTAGAGACTACAGGAAGAATCAATGGCAACAGTTGGAAAGTGATGTCCACGTGAGACATGATGGTTCTTTAACTGGGCAGGCAGCTCTAGAAGTGGGGATAAATGGGAGGATCTGGGATACATTCTGAAGGTAGAGCTGGCAGGATTTGCTGGTGTATTGGAGTCAAGGAAGCCTTCCAAAGTTTTTGGTCTGAGCCACTGAAGAATGAAGATGTTATCCACCGATTAAGGTTGGTGTTCAGAAGAGCAGTTTGGGAGGGCAATTTTAATGTTTTCTAGTGTTATTCCAAATAACAATAAAATTTGCTTCAAAGAATTTCCTGTGCAAAATTTAAGTGTATTGTGGGAATGACCATTTGGATTACTTATAAAAAGTGATTTATTATTTTCATTTCCTCAAAGTATTTTAAGCCAAATTTAACATCAACTAATCTCTTGAGCTTCAGTTTTCTCATTTGTAGAAAGTAAATGCTTCCATGAGAATGAAATGAAAGAAAAAAATATATTTAAGGCATTTGACACATAGTAGGCATACTCTCTCCCTTTCCTTTATAGCTCCGTAACATTTAAGAACATACTTTTTGTGGCATATTGTTCAATTCATACTGAGAAATGTCCAAGAGAGGCATAATGAAAATGGTGAAGACATGTTACAAAAGAGCTAAACTTTAAAAATATAGAATAAAAAAGATAAAATGATATATAGATATTGTTGAATTCTGCAAGATGTTCCAAACCTGGGTAGTATTATTATGAATTATAGGAGATATATGCTTCCAGAATTTGGACTGCAATGTATACAACAATGACTGAAAAGCAGAGTTTCAAATAAGATTTTGACAAATATGCTGTCAGTGTAGTATAATTATATTATAAATTATAGGTTATGGAATGTTTAGTAGGCACTAAGCTTTGTGCTAAGCACTTTTACAGCCTTTTCTCATTTATTCCTTCTAACATACCTACAAAATATAATTTCTTCCATTTTTATAAATAAGAAATAACTGAGAGAGGCTGTATAGTGTATAATGCAGCCAATAAGTTCTAGAACAGGGATTTAAAACTATCTTGAGCCCATGCAATAGGCTATTAAAATATAGTGCACTAGAAGCAGAAGGAAAAGTCCTGTATAGAAGTTTAGAATATAGAATTTAAAGACTGAGAATGATAAAATAGTGGCAGTGCAAGAGACTTTAAAACTTTGATGCATTTGAAAATGTTTTCAAGAACGAGCATGTTTTAATTTTAATAACCAGAAAAAAAGTATAAAAATAAAATCTGATAACCAAGTAATACAATTAACTATCTAGCCTTCTAACTTATGAACTGAAGCCTTGAAAAATCATAAGACAATTGTCTGGGCATGTTCCAAACATAAGCACCCAATTCTTTTAATCCTTCACTCTGTTTCTCAGCAGTTCAAATATCCTTTGATCAAGATCTTCCCTGCTTCAATTTGTGTTGGCCCTGAAGTAACCTCTTTGACTATGGTTTCTTTCAGAGTATTTAGAACCCCTTTTCTTCTTAAGATGCTTTTCACCTTCCCTGCTCAGTTCATTTCTTTCAGGACTGTTATTCTCTTATATGACTTTCACGGCATATTGAACCTGGACTTTACCCATCTTCCTGCTCTTCTTTCATTTTGGTGCAAACAGTTCTCTCCGTCATTGCTTTATTTCCTATCCTTCTCCTTACACACTACAGCATTTTTTCCCAGGCCTAAACATTTTTTGAATTCTAGAAACAGCCTGCACAACCTGCTAAATAAAATAAGCTTTAAATAAAGCATTTTCTGCACCCTGGCCTTTAAAGCAGTTAGCCTGACTAATCTTGTGAACAAAACAAACCTTTCTACAGGGTAATCTCTCAGGCTGAGCGGTTTCAAACTGAAATACAAAGATGTTAGGTTATTTTATTGTATCAACAATTTCTCTGACTACACATTCAGGAATATAGGCACATTTCTTATCTATAAAATATGCAAATATATCATAGAATTTCAGTGTTGGAAGAAGCCCTGAATATTATCCTGTTGCAGTTTAATCACCCAACTAATGTTGGATCACTTCAGCACTTCCCTCACTGAGCAAAGTTCTGCCAGTGCTTGGAAAATTCTAGTAAACACCAAGCAGGAGATATTGTTGCCGTGCTTGGCTGTTCATCTCCCATTGTCATAGTAAAACTCATCTCCCTGCAGAGTCCCTAAAGATTTTAGTTAATTGTTTTTAGTTCTTCTGTTTTTTTTTTTTTTTTTTTAGACGGAATTTCGCTCTTGTTACCCAGGCTAGAGTGCAACGGCACGATCTCAGCTCACTACAACCTCCGCCTCCCAGGTTCAAGTGATTCTCCTGCCTCAGCCTCCTGAGCTGAGTAGCTGGGATTACAGCCACCACCACTACGCCCGGCTAATTTTTTGTATTATTTGTAGAGACAGGGTTTCACCATGTTAGCCAGGCTGGTCTTGAACTCCTGACCTCAGCTGATCCACCCACCTTGGTCTCCCAAAGTGCCGGGATTACAGGCGCGAGCCACCGCGCCCAGCCCTCCCTGGATTTTTACCTGGTAAATCTAAACCCTCTTCTGAGTAAGCCCTTTAAATACTATTAAGAACAGATATTACATTTTTCATTAGGCTTCTCTTTTCAGTATCTGCCCCTGTTCGTTCTATCTTTGAGGTCACCTTTAAAATCAGTGAAAGAAAAATTTTATTTAAAACTAACAAATGCCTTATATCTCATTGTAACTTTGAGTCTATTATAAGGGCAAATACAAATTAGAAGTAAGGGGCTTAATCCCCTCTCTTGAAAATAAAATAAGAGATTTCCTTTACCCCCTTTTCCTTATTTATGGTAGAAAACTTGTAAGTCCTTTTCTCAGTCTCTTTGAAATGTATGTAAATAAGCAGCTCAGGAAGGTTTTCTCAAGGACTTGAATGACAACTCTTTGAAATATAATCATCAAGGAAGATAGAGGCTCTATCTCCCAGTTACCTGGGATGATAGGAGCCTAACTTTCGTTGGCAAACATGCCTCTGCTCATAAAGATAGGAGAAATTTAGTTTTCATTTAAACTCAATTAGCAAACACAGGTGACTACCCAATTACAAAGTGCATTTAGGATGAATTATGTGTGACAGACAGTGCTGTAGTGTTCTCTTACTTGAGGACTAGTTAGTTTATCTTGAGAACTTGTGTGTTACGAGTTGTGTTTGCTTGGCTATATAAACAGCTAAGATTTCTTCCTGTCTTGACCATCTCTTTAGTGGATTGTCAGTGACATGCATCACATTGCTGTTTAATGTTTATTCAATAATAAAACCCCTGTTTTTCTTCTAGTGTTGTAGAGAGGTTTTCTGCAGGGGCAGCAGATTTCATTTTTAGATATATTTCCCCAACACTGCCACATGAAATCTCATATAACTATTTAATTGAGTGGATATAGAATTTTATTTACAAATATGATCACTTAATCAGAGCCCATTACTTGTGTAGGTGACAAAGGGAAGAAAAGTGTTTGCAGATTACATTTCAAATTTACTTTCAAAGTCAACCTGATGACATATACTGAAAGCTTTTCAGAATTAGCTGATGTTATTGCAGAATCATTAGTTAGGATTTCTGCCAACTCACTGAGGACATAAAAATGTCCTGAAAGTTACAGAGAAAAATGTGGATGTATATTTATTTCCAAATAGTTTTAAATCAAGTTTATAAATTATGTGCTGATAACTCTAATATTAAGTTTCCTGATATTCTAGAACAAAAACAGTAGCCAATCATTTCATTTGCAAGAATTTGTAAAGGACATGTTTTGTAGAGAACTTTATTAGACTAACAGAATGCAAATCCACAAGGCAAGGGAATAGGTTATATGAAGTGGAATTATATATCTACCTCTACATTCTTTTCAACAGAGTTGAGAACAAGCTACAACTGATCTTAATTGTTTGGTGGACATCCATTCCACAAGCAGATTTTTTAAAACTTATTTTATATTTCATTAGGTTTTGGGGGAACAGGTGGTGTTTGCTTACATGAATAAGCTCTTCAGTGGTGATTTCTGAGATTTCAGTGCATCCATCACCTAAGCAGTGTAGGCTGTACCCAATGTGTAGTCTTTATCTCTCATCCCACTCCCACCCTTTCCCCTGTGTCCCCAAAGTCCATCGTATCATTCTTATGCCTTTGTATCCTCATAGGTTAGAGGTCACAAAATATCATTTAGTATCTCAATTAATGACTTGCAAGTCCGAATGGATATGTATGCTTAACTTTGCACCTAGAAAAAGAATAAAGTGGTAGAAGTCATTTATTCATTTATTCATTCAGTATGTTTTAACTGGTCATGTGCTTTATCCCAGATGCTGTAATAAATAACAGAAATTAGGCGAGGAAAGACATTCCAGCTGTTAAGAATATAAAATTATCAGGGAAAATATAATCAAATAAATGCTTAATAATAATTATAGAAGAAGAAGAAGGAGGAGGGGGAAGAGGAGGAGGAGGAAGAGGAAGAGGAGCAGGAGGAGAAAGGAGGAAGAGGAAGAGGAGGAGGAGAAAGAGGAGGAAGAGGAGGAGGAAGAGGAGCAGGGGGAGGAGAAGGAGCAGGGGGAGGATGGGGGAGGAGGAGGGAGAAGGAAGAGGGGGAGGAGGAGGGGGAGGAGAAGAGGAGGAGGAAGAGTGGGTGCGTTCTGGGAGGATGCAAGGGGGAAGGAATACTCTGGGAAATGAGAAAAGCCTCCCTTAAAAAGTAACTTGTGAGGTGACAGTGAAGGAGAGTAGAGATGGGCCGGGTGAGAAGAGCAGGTAATATGGTAAATCAAGCAGAGACAAGAGCACCAAGGCTCTGAAGCAAAATGGGGTTAGTATGTTTGAAGACTTTCAAGAAGGTTAGTGCAACTGGAAGCTTAATGAGTGAGGTGAATCTCTTTGTTGGAAAGGTTGGATGGATTTCCTTGTTCAGTATTTAAATTGAAGGCTATCATTCTACTGCAAATTTCTATTTTTGCTAAAGTCAATTTTCATGCTTTCTCTAATTCCAGAATTGTATATATTTCATCTGCTTTCAAATTATTTGAGATTGTTTATATTTTAGTAGTTAATAGCTATTAGAACTGATTTTGTTTTTTCATGCTGTATTTTATTTCATCTTTTCCTCTAATTTTTTACTTGATTTTGCCAGATGTTTGTCTATTTTAAAAATCTCTTAAAGTGATTGGTTTGTAATGTTAACAATCTCTGTTTTATTCTCTATTTTATAAGTCCTTGCTTTAATTTTATAATTTCCTTTCTTTTTTCTATATGTTTACTTTCTTGTTCATTTTCCATGTTCTCAAGTAAAAATGAGCTTACCTCATTTATTTTGAATAATCCTTACTCTTGATGATCGCATAAAAATTCAATTTAGACATCTCATGAATTGTGCTATACTTCACTGTTTTTCAGTTTTAGATATTTCAAAGCTTTCCTTATAATTTCCTTTTTTTAAAATCTAAAGTTATTTAGTTTCCAGATTTATGGAAAAGCAAAGAAGCCATTCTTCTTTTTTAAATGTTTTCTACAATTATTATTTCCTGTATAGAACTGATGGTCTGTATAAGGATGATATTTTGGATTCATTGAGGTTTCTTTTGTGGATTAGTGCACATTTGTATTAATGTGAAATGCATACTGATAAAGAATAAGTATTTTATCTTGCTGAATAAATATTTTTTATGAACACATTTGCTTATAATTTAATTGTTACATTAGTTGTTACATTACATTTCTGGTTTTTTTCGTCATGAAGAAATGTCCAAACAGTTTTTCAGTAATTTCTTAGGAAATAATATATGGATACTGGTTACTTACAAGTATTATTAGGGATGTGGTGAACAAAGGGCTTTTACATATTGCTGATGGGGGTCTAGTACAATGTGGCCACCTGGGTGAGCAACCTGGCAACTTAAGCGTGTCTGTATTCTCTGCCTCAGCAGACACACTCTGCTGTATGTTCCGCACTGGATGCAGGACATGAGGCATTGTAAAGCATTCAGGAAATGCTTGTTAGATGAATGAGTGAACCAATGAGACATAAATGAGTGAAATATGATATTTATATGCAATATAGTATTCTGTAGAACTTAGTTAGAAGCCACAGACCAGACATACACAGCAGTGTGGATGGATATTAAAAACATGAGGCTGAATAACAACAGTGAGAAAAAGAAACAATTCCATAATACCTTATTAATTAGTTAAACTAAGATACACACATAACAACACACTACGTAGGTCAGTTTTCAGGAATACTTAAAAATTCAATGACACATTTCAAAAACGTATCGGGTTCCTGGTAAACAAATAGAATGGAAGTAAAGAAACGAGACATAGAAAATACACATAAATTACACAGAGAAAGGTCTTGAATGGACTGATGCTTTGTGTGAAGAACTCAGGGCCTCTGCACTTGAGTCCAAATCCAATACAATCTGATCGAACAGACCTAGGAGAAGACGGGATAAAGTGAAGGTGGGAAAGTAGACACCACCTGTTTATTCAGAATCTAAAAAGGGTAAGAAATTTCTATTTTATTCCAGATGTGAGGCAGCCATTAATCTTCACTAAAATATCACCTTGTGTGGATACTAGATGAGAAGATAAAATGAGAAGAAAGCAGTAGAGGAAGCAGAGAGACCAGAATGCAACAGCCCTGCCTGAGATGGTGGTGGCTTGGAATAGATATTGTTTGTGGAGATTTGGGAAGAAGTCAGACTTTGTCTTCTGTTTAGCTTTAAATCTGATAAGGATCCTATTAATTATGTTTGAATAGCATACATGAAGAATATTAGATGACGATTTCTGAAGTTTTTCTGACTAATGAAAAATCAGAGGTGAACAGATTTTAAAATAAACAATTGCAGCAATATAAAAAATCTCTACAGTCAATATATTCTATAACGTAAGCAAAAACTACTGTGTTTTATATGCTTTTGTGTTCTTCGGATGTTTTTTAGTGTGGATTCTATTCCTAGAAAATTAAACAAAGAGAATGATTGGAAAAATACAAGAATAGTTTTTAATTAATCTTTAATATTACCGGAAGTTTTCCATTCCATTTAAGGGATGTAGCAAAAGAAATAACAAGTTTAAATTTAAATTTGACTATTTTATAAATATAAATCTTCTCTAATATTCTCCATTCCCTCGTCTTATTAAAGAGAAGGATGATTGACCTAAAAAATCCTTGAAAGTACTGACATATATGTTTTTTTCCTTCTAGGGTTATCACAGTGACATATAACTTCTTTAAATTTTAATCAACTGTGAATCTAGGTTTTTGGTATAGGGAAATATATGGCTCTTGGTGACATTTATTGAGATGAGGGGAGGCTATAGTTTTGGACATTTTTTTATTGTAATATGAACTAGAGGAAGTTCAGGGATGAAACCCTGAAGAAAACCAGATTTCTTATACTTAGACGGAAGAATATGTTCTTCCAAAGAAGAGAGTCAGTGACTAGAAAATTATGAGAAAAAAAGTAAGTAGTGCTAACTTACTGAGGTATGAGTGTGTTCCAAGAAGTAAGGTGAATATTCACCACGGTTAAAATAAATGAGCGCTCAAGTGAAATGAAGACTGAAAATGCTCCCTTAGCATTAGTTTACTGGTAATCATTGATGAGGCAAGATTGGGGAAGAATATGGCGGACACTAAATGAGATGACAGGATTTGAACATGTGCAAATGAATTTTGTTTTTCTTCAGAATTTTCTGTAAAAAGAAGAGACTTGAGAGTGATGATGTGGAGAAAACGAATCAGTGGGGAGGAAAGCTTGAAGTAGGGCGAGAAAGGATGGGCTTTGGTAGGTGAAGAGATTATTTCTTCTCCTGTAATAGGCAGGATGGAGGAGAAGGTGAGCGCAAGTGGGTTTGCAGACAGTGTAGCAGGTCATTGAGGGGCCTGATGATGGCTTTTTATGCGCTCTGGGCTGCAAACACTAGTTAGTATAAAGGGCCACAGGTTTTCAGGAGCTTCAGGAGCTACAAAGCCTTATCAGACTTGTGGTTTGCAGAGCATCTACGTTTTCTCATTTGTACAGGGTAGTATTACCTTACAGTTTCTGAACAAGGTTAGGGCTAAGTGGTTCTTTTCTTAGCCACTCTAGCTTTCCTTTTTAAGGGAACTGAGCTATTTGCGGTCTTCGTGGTTTACCTGTTGTGTGCTCTCTTCCTCTTCTCACTGCCCGCTTATCAAATAAGGTTGTAGCCTGGTAATTGAAATATGAGTGTGACACGTGCAGCACATTTGTCTCAGGGAAAAACTGAATAACATACAGCACTTCCTGACCTCCGCTGTGTCTGATAGAGACTCCTGGGGTTGCATATAAACACAGTAACTACTCCAGTTCCTCTGGGAGTCTGAAGTATTCTAGTAATCTGAGGATGACTACGAGATGTGTTACATACCACTAGATCCTTTGGTTGGATAACAATACTGTGACTCAATATCTTTTAACCTAGAGTCACTGTGACATATGAATAGGGCTCAGAGTTTCATGGAGCCCTGGAATTTCATAAAAATTGCATGTAAATGAATTTATTATAGATAAAGCTCCCATAGGCTGTTATTTTCTCAAAGGGTGATGACCCCCAAATCACAAAGGAACACACACCCTTTTTTTCTGATTACTCTTCCTAATGAACATAAAAGTGGAAATTAACACAAAATGATTCTTGACATTTATGTTCTTCTCAGGCATAAATATATCACTTATAGGAAATTAATGATCTAGAATCATCATAGCTCTATTTTAAATTTTCATCAAGTTATTTGTTTTGTGATTGCATAACACATTGTTCATACTGCTAAATATATTTGATTGCATTCAATTTCAACAGCCATTCAACAAAATTGTGAACAGTACCTCCTCTTCTAGAAATCAGGTATCAGAAATATAACAATAAATGAGGCAAAAATCCCTGCCCTTGAAAATTATCTTTGTCTTTCTAGAATATTAAAAAAGACTACATTTGAATATCATATATTCATTCAAACATCGGCAGGGTGTCTGGGAGATCAGTCATTACTGAATTGAATTGTATTATTGAAACCATAGCCATAATTTTCCCTTTAAGTCCCAAAACATGTGCAATATTAGCCAGTGAAAATAGTCTAAAATGTGACATTCCAAATAGTGTTTTAATGCTGAAAAAATGCCAAAAGATTAGCTTTAAAATCTTGAATGCATATTAAATCAAATTAAGAAACACAAAATTATTATCTAATCTGAACATTTTAAAAATAAACCATTTAGGTTTGTATGAAATATTCACTACTTTTGTATTTATCAAATTGTTTCAGGGGAATCATCACAAATGCTCACATTAATGTTGGAATTTAACAATATTGAAAATATTTTTCCTGAAACATTTGTTGTACTGAATGCCATAGTAATAGTATTAGAGCAATTCGGAGCACAGCTGTGAAACCGAGAGTTATAATTTAGCTCTGTGTCACACACATAATCTCACATACTCATGCCTTATCCTATTAGGAAAAATAAAAAGTTCACAATTACACTATGTAGTAGGGTATAGGAATTCAAATAGGAAAAAAACCAGAAAGACATCTTTCTAGAATATGATAGAAAAACTGCAACTTTATGTTATTTTCCTTTTTTTCTTATTTGTCGAATGTAGTCATGTAGGTGAGACTGTCTTAGTTTAGAATTTAATTTTTTGAGACATCCTTAATTTCTCCTTAAGTAGGAGAAACTAGAAGGCCAAAGAGGTTACTAGGAAAATAAAGCAAAGCTACTCAGGCCAATGTGTTCAGTTGGATAGTTTTCAGAGAGACAATAACCTCCCACCATTACCATGGAAAATGTATACCTCCAAGTTCTGTTCCTGTTGGATTTGGATGTATGGCTTGCTCTTGCCAATGGAATATTAGAAGACTTGACTCAGCAAATTAGAAATGTGCCTAAACTTTTGGGATCTGGCATCGCTGTTATTGTTATGAGAACTTACTTTGGACTAACTCACTGGTTAAAGGAAGAAGATGAGAAACACACGTAGTGGAGGCAGACTACCCAGCCAAACCCAGGTCTGAGTTAAAGAAATGCTTACTTTTGTATGCTGCTAAGATTTTTGTGGTTGTTTGTTATGCCTCCTTATTGTGGCATAACTAATGCAGTAAACTAGGAAGGATTTTTGAGGATACTATGAATAATATCCAAAAAGTGAACCTTAGGGAGTGCCTAAAAGACCAATTGTTAGTATTTTTGTGTTTTTCTAAGCGAGCAAAGAAAGTTCCCTGGAACCCAATAGTTGTTGAGCCTAGTTAAGCAAGTAGGAGGTGAGAGATCAAACTGCCAAACTTTAATGGAAATAATAACCACCTAGGGGAGCTGAATAGCATGCTTCCAAGGTCTCTGGTTTCCAGACTCTGGTTTAGTAAATCTGAGATGGAGCCTTAAAATCTGATTTTAACCATAATTCCAAGTGAAATAGACTCAGGTAGTCCTGAGATCACCCAGGAACATGGATGTCAAGATTTAACTCCCAAATCCTTTAAATGAAGATGTGACTTTACTTGCAATGTTCTTAAGAGCTTGGTACAAACAAGATACTCTGTGTTTCAGGAACTTGTGATCCTGGTTCTAGTCACATTTATCATGATAGACAGGTAAATACTATGTGAAATTCTGGGTTATCTGCCATGGGGGATAAAAGTGAATCATAAGATATCATTTATGCCCCTAAAGGAGTAAATACTCAGTGAGTAGGATGAGTGTGAGTGGATGAAAAATGTAACCGATGGAAAGGACAGTAATAGTAATCCAGTAATCCAGATAGAATAAGCATCCATGTGCATTGAATAAATTAATAATTCTTACTCTCTTAGCAAAATGTTTCTAATGTCTTAATAATCTTAACGATAACAATTGTAGCAATAGAAAATGCATATAGTGCATACAGTTGATACATGTGATATCATTTAATACTAAAAACAAACAAAACCCCTGTGGGGTAGGTCCCACTTTTACTTGGATTTTCTAGTGCAGAAACTGTGGATAAAGAAGTTGTGTCACTCCCCTACATTCATGTAACTTAAGTGAAGTCTAGTTGGGATTCAAACCCAGTGTGCCTCTGACATTGATGGTCCCAACCACAGCAGTCTGGCACCCCTTATCTATAAGAACAAGTGTCAGCACCAGGCAGCTTTCCCTGTTAACAAGGAGCATGGTGCTATGAGTGAATAGACAGTCCTTATTTGAAGAGTGAAAGAACCCCTAAAACTCTCACAAATAGACTTTACAATTTGTAAGAGTTGCATTTGTCTTAAAGATGTTACTATAAATTTAGTGGTAAAGCTACCTACAAAAATAATGTAAGCATTTTAAAAAATATTTTAAATATAATAGGCATGTGTTTATTTGCAAGTCTAAGCACTTAGAATCATTCAAAAATAAATTTTAAAATGGTTTGAAAAACAGCCACTATTTATATTTTAAACCTCTCTATTAAAACAACTAATAGGTGATTTGCTTTTTTATTCCCCCTGTAGTGAAGGTGTGATGTGCTGGCAAAACAGAGCATGGCTGGTTGAGGCATCACAGCAGACCCATCTGGCTAAATCTTAATGGACAGATCAAAAATGATTCTGTCTGAGGCTATTTTATGTGATGAAAATCTCATAAATTTAATGAAACAAAGACAATTTACTACTGAACAGGAAAGTCACCAGACACAGGTTCTGAAAGAAAAACTCTGAAAAGGAAAGTGGTAGAAGGAGCAATCAGGTGACTATGATGGATATTTCCAAAACAATTGCTGTATCTGACTTTTTGGTGTCTGCAGTTTCAGTTGCTACAAATCCTGTTGGTAAGCAATTTTGCCACATGGTCTTTAAAAGATGAACAGAGATATTCAAGTCTGTAAGTAAAATTTGGAGGAATTTGATTATTGTCTGATGCCTTGTAATATATTTTGAAGAAGAAATGTGTTGCCTATTTTGAAATTGGGTTGGCTAATTTCTCACATCACTAAATATTTAGGGCTTGTGCAAGTTTTATTCTTCCTTCATTAGAAGGCATACTTGGAGAAGTGTTTAACATATGCAGAATGGCAGCAAATACTTAATGTATTTCTAAAAGTATTATACATTCTTAATGCATTATTAAAATTGAAAATTGGTTTAAGGCATAAACTACCTAAAATACATTTATGCTGAACTATATTTTGAACTATATTTGAACTATCTCTGATGTACCTTACATGCTAAGTTTGTTTTTCCAATCTTTGTGTTATGTACAATAAAGCACCTCTATTCAGTTGTATGCTGATAAATGTTTAAAAAATGGCTCTGTGAGGGCCCTATCTGTAGCACTTACCAATTTCTGTGGTGTAAATACTCCCACCATAGTTAATTTTAAACCACCAATGCTGCCAACTGGCTTGAAACATTCCTGAATATTTAACAATTGGCTCTCTATAGCAGATTCCACTTGGTTTCAGCATCCCACTGTGAAACTCCAGAAATGTCCTTTTTAATCTTTAACAGGCTGCTTCTTGGATTTAAATATAAAGAATCATCTATGGTAGTAACATTTTATTTTTCAAATGCCCATGTTCTCTTGTAACCATTAGCACAGTCAATGGAAAGTCCAATATTGAAATGGATCTATCAATGCAGTGTTTATGAGAAACATTTAGTGCTGGAATTAGAAGTGTAAGCCACCATGCCCGGCCTAAAATTTTCTTTTAATAAAAGCTATATTCATCAAACAGTAAGTACAAAATGGATCAAAGGTAACTCATGAAATGGAATAACTTATACTGTTGAGTAAGAAGTTATTTACTTATTTTCTAGAAATGTCTAGTTTATCACTAATGAATGTGCATTGCTTATATAGGTTGTTACCATAGTAACTAGTACAAATAATAATTCAGTGAACTTCCTGGAAAACTTTTGCTGCTAATCCTTTTGATGACATGTGATTATTTCCATGTAATACATTCCATAAGTGAAATACTATGCCAGAAGATATTGTACCGCTATTCTCAAAAAGTGTATCTAGAATCCAATCACTTCATTCCATCCCCAGTCCTAATAGCTTGGGCCAAAGCACCGTCAGTTTTCCTAAGGGTTTTTGCAATAGTCTCTGAAATGTGCTGTTTCCACTTTTGTTGCTGAATCCTCCAATTTGCTCATTTACAGTGATCTTTTAAAACTGGAAGTTTGAGCGTGACACTTCTTATCTTTTCAGAGTTTTGACCCTCAAGTGGCTTCTCATATGTATATTAAAACCAAAGTTATTACAATGTTTTAATGGCTTATAATCTAACCTCTTTCTGTCTAAATTTATCCCTTAGAACTGGAAAAAAAAAAAAAACATTTCACTCATCATATTTTAGGAACTCACCACCTTACTCTTGCTCTGCTTCTCCAGGCACATGGCTGCCTCAGGCCTTTTTCCCTTGTTTTTTCCTCAGCCCGAAATGCTTTTTACTCAGATTTATGTATGACTGAGACCTTCACCTACCACATTCTAGCTCAAAATCACCTTCTTAGTGATTGAAAGTTGCATTTCTTTCATTCTCACACTCTGTTTGGTAGTAAGGTGGAGTGGGTTTGGGGCTAGGTTTAGCTCAGAGCGGTCAAGTTAAGTTGAAATCTCCTAAGTGTAAGTTGGGTGCTTTATGTTAACCTCCTTTATTATTTTATTTTTCTCCTTGCACTTTGTATAATTTGATATATTGTATAGTTTATTTTTTACCTTATTATTATTTGTCTCCCATGTCTAGAATGTAAATAAAATAAAGGGTGTTTTCTCATTAATGAATTTCCAGTTAATAAGTGCTGGACAAATATTTGCAGAATAAATGCATAAATTGATTCCTCACAAAATTTTCCCAGGAAAAAAATACAAAAAATAGATGAGTGTGGTGGCGTGCACCTGTAATCCAGCTACTGGGGAGGCTGAGGCAGGAGAATCTCTTGAACCCCAGAAGAGATTGCAGTGAGATGAGATCACACCACTGCACTCCAGCCTGGTGACAAAGCAAGACTCCACCTCAAAAATAACAACAATAAAAAATATTTTTCATTATATCATCAAATAACTTATTTCTGAAGTACCACATTAAAAGTTATATTGTTCTCTCTAATTTTTTGGTTAGAATATTTAAACTAAGCAGCCTAAAAAATAGTTGGTTACAAATACAGCCAGGAAAAAAAATAGAATATTTACATGTCTTCTCATTACCCTCGTCCCATTGTTTACCTCAAACTACTGTGTGGAGAGAGACATCATCGAAATGGTGCAAGACTCAAAGAAGGTTGTTGTATACTGATAAAAGTTTCAACTCATTGGAAAGATATAATACTTATATGACCACCAAATAAATAAGCCCAAAAATATATGAAGCAAATGTTGACAAAACTTCAGAGGAAAATAGTCCTATAATAATAATTGGCAACTTTAAGAACAACTTTCAAAAATGGATAGAACAACTTGACAGAATATTGATAAGGAAATAGAGGGCTTGAAACACTATAAGCCAATGAAGTCTAACAGATACATGTAGAACATTGCACATAAAAACAGCAGAATATACATTTTTCTCATGAGCACATGTAACATTCTCACAAATAGACCATATGTTAGGTTACAAAACAGGTCACCATAAATTCCACAATGACTGAAATAATAAAAAGTATTTTCCCCAACCACAACGGAATGAAGCTAGAAACAAATAGCAGAAAAAAAGTTAAGTTTTCCCAATCTGTCAAGTCTGTTTAATAGAGAAATGGTAGGATTTTCAACCAATAATGTTGGAACTACTGGTTTCCCAACGCAGAAGAATAAAGTTGGTTTCCTACCTCACACGATTTGGAAGCATTAACTCAAGTGGCACCAACAACCTATATGTGAGAACTAAAACTATAAAAATATTAGAAGAAAATGTCGAGGTACTTCTCATGATTTAGATTTGGCAACGGATTCTTAGATATGACACCCAAACCACACGTGGCAAAAGAAGAATAGAGATATTGGACTTTATCAAAATTAGAAACTTTTATACCAAAGGACATATCAAAAAAGTGACAAGACAACCTACAAAATGGGTTGGTTCTAATATCCAAGATAGAGAACAGTTACAACTAAATAACAACCTGATTAAAAAATGGGTAAAGTACCCAAGCAGACATTTCTCTAAAAATGATAAACAAATGGCCAAAGAGCATGAGAAAAAATGTTCAGCAATATTAGTCATTAGGAAAACACAAATCAAAACCACAATGAGAAACTACTTCATACTCTCTAGAATGCCTGTAGTTTAAAATAATGCAAATATTAATTTGATGAGGATGTGAAAAATTTGTTACCCTAGTATACTGGTAGTGGAAATGTAAAGTGGTCCAGTCATTGTGGAAAACAGTTCTTCAAAAAACTAAGCATATAATTACCATATAACCCAGTAATTCCACCTCTAAGTACAAATATTTGTACAAAAATGGTGATTATAGCACTATTCACAATAGCGAAAAGGCAGAAACAAGCCAATATCCATCATAGGATAAATTAATAAATAAATGTGATATATACATACAATGGAATACAACTCTTCAATAAAAAGGAAACAATGTACTATGAAACATGCTATAACATAGATGAAAATTTAAAATGTCATGCTAAGTGAAAGCAGCCAGGCTAGGCGTGGTGGCTCACACCTGTAATTCTAACACTCTTGGAGGCTGAGGTGGAAGGATTGCTTGAGGCCAGGAATTCAAGATCAGCCTGGGCAACACAGGGAGACCTCGTTTATACAAAATATTTTAAAAATATACATTAGACAGGAGGGGTGGTGTGTGCTTGTTGCCCCAGCTACTTGGAAAGCTGAGGCAGGAGGATCACTTGAGCATGGGAAGTTAAGGGTGCAGTGAGCCAAGATTGTGCCACTGCACTTCTGCCTGGATGACAGAGCCAGACTGTATCTTGAAAAAAAAATAGAAGAAGAAGGAGAAGGAGAAGGAGAAAGAGAAGGAGGAGGAGGAGGGGAAGGAGAAGGAGAAGAAGAAGAAGAAGAAGAAGAAGAAGAAGAAGAAGAAGAAGAAGAAGAAGAAGAAGAAGAAGAAGAAGAGGAGGAAGAAGAAGAAGAAGAAGGAAGAAGAAAAGAAGAAAGAAGGAAGAAGGAAGAAGGAAGGAAGAAGAGAAGGAGGAGGAGGAGGTAACACATATTGTATTAATTCATTTCAATTTCTATGAAATATCCAGAGTAGGTAAATCCACAGAGTCAGAAAGTACATTGGTTTTGCCTAAGACTGGGAGGAAAAGGTGAATGAAGAGTTACTGTGTAATGAGTATGAGGTTTTCTTTGTAGTGAATAAAAGGTTTGGAAACCAGATAAAGGTGGTGGTTGAATAAAATTGAGGATGCATTAATACTAAATGACACTGACTTGTACGCTTTAAAATGGTTAATTTTATGTTATGTGAATTTCACTTCAGTGTAAAAAATATTGTTTGTTAGGCAGTTATTTCTTTGGGAAGTTAATCAGCATCTTTCTTAGGTATACCTGAAGTAGTCAAATAATGTTTAACACACAATTACATATATATCTTTATATGTCTACAATAGATGCTTTAAGAAGCATATCAAATAATATACTTGTGGTAATTAAAAAATAACAATACATTTTCTTCAAATTCATGTCTTTAATATTCAGATGAATATATATATGAAATTAAAACACAGTAAAACTATATATGTGTATGTGTACACACACACATACACACACACACACATATATACACATATATATGTATATGATCTGTTTCAAACTATTATTTTGCTCTGCCTTTCTCCATAAAGCCAAATAAGGGGGATTTTTGGAAAACTTCTATAAAGCAATCTTAACAAATGTGGTTTAAATTTGTGACAAAGACTATTTGGAAACAGAAATTGTTATTATTATTAGTTTTAACATTACCTACTATGATCCAAAACATCAGCAAGAACAAAACAGAAATCTATCTAGAATTGTCTTAATTGAATAATCACTGATCCTTGCCCTTTCTTCCACTTTAGCTCATCAGAAGTAATCATTGTTAATAGTGACTAGATTTTGGTGTCTCTGGTATTTGCCTTTATAAATTTAAATAATATACTTATTTGTCAATTTTTTTATTTATCTACTGGAGTTGAATTTAATTCACTCCTCATTTTAAATAACAGGAATTAAATCAATTTTACCATCAATTCACTTCAAGTTTTTAATTGAAATTATTTTATTCTATTACTAGATTTTATGAATTAAATTTTTTTTTGATTTCTCAACTTCAGGTATTGTGTTTTTAGCTCCCAAGTTGAAAGGATGAAGAAATCACTTCTTTCTGACCTCTTCTTTTCTAAAATATTGGCAATTTTACTGATTTTTGACTTGTAATGCTTACACTTTATTCTTTAACCATGATTAGATTTACTTTGCTATGTCTGGACAAGTCTAACAATATAAATTCAGTCAAAAGGGTATTATGGTTATACAAGTATTTACTTATGGCAAAACCAATCATTCAATTAGACCCAGATATATGAGACATTGTTACTGTCTTTTATTAAAAGGATTGGCTAAAATGTTCTCTCACACAGCACTGAATATTTACAATGTTTATAATATTTTACATATTTAAACTATCAAATTTCAACATTTTATTTTTAGTCTAGGAACTTATTTCATTTAATTATTTGAATTGTTTTGATAAGCAATACATATTTCAAATATGATAGCTCTATTTAAAACAAAAGGTGCCCTGAATATTTTTCTTAATCAATATGAATATCAACTTATGTATTCAAAAATGTGTCAGTATATTTGTTTCCTTTGTTTAAGCATCATTCTCTGTTTAGTCAAAAGAACTCTCTATAACTATTTGATATTAAAATTTTTATTTGTTTATAAAAATCACTTAAAAATGAATTCTTGAGGATAATATGATGATATATTAAGAAGTAATCAATACAGAATTTATTGCTTACATGTACATAGAACTAGAACTTCAACTATAGGGTATCACAAAGTCCTTAATACAAACATTGTAAATATAATATGGCAAATGGCATGCAATTAAACATATATATGTATTTAACTGATGGCGCATTGTGCGTGTATACATGAGATAACGGTTGACACAGTTTTAGAAAAAACATGAGAAAGGTGTTGGGTCGCAATTCTCAAAATTAATATCAGAGTGACAGAAAATAAAGGTCCAAGAATACAGGAAGTCATTCATCTATATACATTACATACTATAAATGTGTTTAGTCACTAAGAATTATGCTTATTATGTTTTGGCTTAATAAGCTGTATACTTAATAAGCTGTGATGCCACTAGAGTGGCTCAATTGGTTTAACAGGAATCATTTATCGTTTTTTAGAAAGTATTTTGGTTCAGTGGGTGGAGGTAAAGATCAGTGCATCGGAATCAAGATATTTGGGTTTTTGTTCCTTTTCAGTCGCTTATTGGGTATTGTAGTTACCCCCTATAAATCCTCAGGTTCCTCATCTCTATGAAGGTAGCTATAATAACAAATAATCTTATTGAATTGCTGCTAAGATGAAAAATAATGCATGTACCATGTTTAGCTCAGTCAGTGGTAATTATTATTCATCTTTCTCACTGCATTTGCTTGTTATTGTGGACAAACAATGCCAAACAGAATGGATGTTTTTGATACACTTTCATGCTAGAGCATCCTGTGGTCTCAAATTTCTCTTTTTAAATATAGGACTATAATATCTGCATCAAGAGTGGTCATAATCCTTACATTAAAAAGAATGTAAATTAAGTCTAACAATGTATAAGCTGTAAAAGCTTTACCAATCTTAGAGACTAAAATGGCTTTTTAGGATAAAAATACACCAAAAATTCAAAACAGGTATTTGTGAACCTTATAACTGATAAACCCTAAAGCGGATTACATTATTTTATAAAACTTATGTAGAGGTTTAGAATATGCTTCTTCTAGGTGTATTAATTGAATATTTAATATTTTAAGCAAAACCCTATGAAAGAACTGTATACAGAATAGGAATATGAGCGACTATGGGGTAAATTACATGCCAATAACCACACAGCTAAGAAGTGCTGGTCCAGGATTCAACACGAAGCAGTGTAACTCCATAACAATGTTTTATTGAAAGATGAATTTAAAAACTGTTATATGTGAAAAAAGTAAGAAAAAATTTATTTAAAGGGCAAATCGTCATGAATCCCCCAGAAAGCTGTGTTTTATTGTTCATTAAACAATCCAAAAGACACATTTCAAGTTTTATTTTTCAAGTCTTTTATTTATGTATGTACTTACCTGCTGTATACCATAGGGTATACAAATGTAAAGGAAAAGAACGGGATTGGAAAATTGTCTCTTAAAGAGTAGTCACGCCTTTTCAACTATAATTTTTTTTTAAAAAAAGAAAGTTATAATTTTGAGTTACACTTTTATTTAGAAATGGAGTTTCCTTGGAATGGACATTGAAGGAATTAATACAGACAACAAAGAGTAGAGTCCAAGTCAGGACAGATGATATTGACAGGCACTTGGAAAAAATAGCAACAACAGACCTGTCAGGACTGTGTCTTGAGTAATGGAATTCATTCGTTTTGGTATTTTTAATGCAGTTGTAAACTGCCATTCTCCCACAGTTTAAAGCAGGTTTATTTTTTTGATGATATAGCTGTAAATGTGAAAACCAAATTAACTTGTCACATTTGACTGCCTAAAGTATTTCCCAATCCCATTTTTAGGGTATTGATAAAACCTTGATAATCAGGGGGAAGAATAACATTTTGACAGGATCACAGGAATGTCCCAAAGATGAAAGAAATGAACACAGTTGATTAATATATGTTTTTATGATGTATAAAATCTTATATTAAAACTAAGAATTCACAGTCCTACAAGTCAATACCCACTGTCTGAAATAGCACTATTATGTAGTATTGACTAGCACTTATATATTATTCCTTTATTTAATTAATCCTAATGTTTCCTTAGGGGATTCTCTATTTTTGAATAACATTCTCCCCATTTTAATACAGTTGCTTTTAAAGGCAGTAATTCTTTTCCTAAGTAGCGGTAAACTTAAATTAATAGGTCTACAAGGAATAATACACAGACATCGAACTAATTATCAATTTGAAGAGAAGGAAGAACATTCCTTGTGGAAATGTAGACCTTCAAATGAACGCTTGATGGACTGACTACAGGTCACTCACAACCGCATTATCAATGGATAACATACAGAACCTTTCCTGGCGAATTTTCTGTGAAAGAGGCGTCTTCAGTATTTCATCAAGTAAAATTGCTTCCATGCTGCAGAATCGCCTAAGTGCATGCTGCCTGAATCTGCCCAACCTTCTGTTGATAGAATAAGTTATTCTATCACAATAGCATTCTATTAGAATACATGGGAGGAAGCAGAAGTGCTGGGGGATTTTGTTGAATTTTAGCAGTGCCATTCAGAATTTATTTTATAAAATTATGACCTATCAAAAAAGAAAAAACCCAAATCAAATCAAAACAAAACAAATGACCCTTTTATTAATAGTTGGGATTGAATTGTAGAACTCCTATAATCATGTGTCTTTGAACTAAGTCTTGCCAGTAGACATCAAAGCAGGTGCAAACAAGCTGCCATTTCTTTTCATTTCTGGCAAAATTACCTCCCAATGGTCCTACCTCCTAATAATATCACATTGGAGGTTAGGATTTCAACATGAATTTTTGGAAAATATGAACATTTAGTGCATAGTATACTCACTCCAAATGCAAAAATTAACTCAAATGATTCAAAGACTGAAATTTCAAAGCTAAAGTTATAAAACTAAAAGTAAAATCATAAGCATAAATTCCGTGACCTGGATTAGGTAATAATTTCTTACATATCCTGCCAAAATCACAAGTAACAACAGAAAAAAAAATGGTGTATTGGAATGTATACACATTTTTAAATAAAATTCTTCTGAAAAAGATACCCTCAAGAAAGTAAAAATAAAATCCATAACATGGAAATAGGTACTTATATCCAGAATGTATAAATAACTCTTGTAATACAACGATAAAATGACAAAAAGCCCAATTAAAAACGGGAAAAACGACTTGAGTAGACATTTATCCAAAGAAGGTATGCAGGTTGCCAATAAACATGCATAGTGATGTTCAACATCACTGGTTATCAGGGAAAATGCAAATCAATACCACTTCAGACACGGTATCATGCCTATAACAAACAAGACTGAAGACTTATACACTGTTGGCAGGAATGTAAAAAGAGGCATCCACTTTGAAAAACAGAGTTAACATATGACACAGCAATTTTACTGCTAGAAGCATAATCAAGAGAATAAAAACCTGACTGCACAATACGTGAACATGAATGTTCATAGCACCCTTATTTATAAAAGCCAAAAACGAAAACAACCTGAAACCCCATCAATAATGAATGGATATATAAAATTCGTATATCCACACAAAGGAATATTATATGGTAATGAAAAGAAGTACTGACATTGAAAACACTAAATGCTGTTGAGGACACGGAGCAACAGGAACTCTGTCATTGATGGTGAGAATGCCGAATGCTACCATCACTTTGAAACACACTTTGGCAGTTTATTGCAAAAATAAATATATTTTTCCATGCAACCCAGCAATCATACTTCTTGATATTTACTCAAAGAAATGAAAAACTTATTTTTACACAAAAATCTGCACATGAATGTTCATAGTAGCTTTATTCATAATTGCCAAAAACTGGTAGTAATGAAGATTTATTATATGAGTAATGAATAAAAAATTTGTACATACTGATAATGAATATATATTTCATTTTATATATATTCATGTATATATTGAATATATATGTTCATATATATGTATATATATATGTTCATATATATGTGTATATATATGTTCATATATATGTTCATATATATGTATATATATATGTTCATATATATGTAGATATATATATGTTCATATATATGTAGATATATATGTTCATATATATGTAGATATATATGTTCATATATATGTAGATATATATGTTCATATATATGTAGATATATATATGTAGAGAGATATATATGTAGATATATGTATATATGGAGAGAGAGAGAGAAGTACGTGTGTGTTTGTGTGTATGCATTCAATGTTAACAAGAAATGAGCTATCAGGCCATAAAAATAGATAAGGAAACCTTAAATTAGTACTACTATGTGAAACTGAGTTGTACTTAGCGCTATTAAGTATTTGCAGCCTCCTTAGCGCACTCAGTAGGTGCAGCAGTCCCACATAACTACTAAGTGAAAGAAGCCAATCTAAAAAGGCTGTGCACTGTATGATTCCAACTATATGACTTTTTGGAAAGAGCAAATCTATAGAGACAATAAAAAGATTCCTGGTTTCCAAGGGGCTAAAGGAAGAAAATAGGAAGTACACAGATTTTTAAGACAATGAAAGTATTCCATATTATACTACGAGTGTAGATATGTATCATTATACATTTGCCAAAACTCATAGAATGTACAACACTGAGAGGGAACTCTAATGCAAACTGTAAACTACATGAACTTTGGGTGATAATAATATGTCAATACAGGTTTGCTGATTGTAACAAATGTGGTGAAGGATATGGATAATGGGGGAGGTTGTGTGTGGAGAAGAAAGAGGGACAGAGAGATAAGGGCACTCTGTACTTTCTGGTCAACTTTGTTGTGAACTTAATTTTAAAAAGAATATATAAACCTTTTAATAGCTATTAATAAATAAATGCAAATATCACAGCTTAAAAGAAAAAAAAAGTATTGTTACATGCTTCGACATAAAAGAACCATGAAAATTATACTAAGTGAAAGAAGCCAGTCATGAAAGATCATATTATGTGATTCCATTAAGGTTCTTATATATTAGACATTCTATAAATCCCAGTTAGTGTCATCACCCTTCATTATATCAGGGTGTTTACTACTAATTTCAGACTAATTTCAGTCTTCGTCAATGCCCTCTCCAATTTTCAATTTCAAGTTTCTTGAATATGGTAAAATGTGATTAGCTCAGTTTTTACTATGCAGTAGATTTTCTACAAATTCGACTCCCACTAAATTTTCCCACTTTCTTTAACTCTGATTTCAATTTGCACAAAACTAATGTGGTAGAGAGGTTCTTTATGTCTTCAATATATTCCACAACTATTAAATTTGAGTTTTAAATGTGGTGGTGTTTTTATGTGCCACTGTATCTGTTTGTATCTCTCTGATTTACCTAATACCACCACTATATGATGTTTATATACTATTTTAGTTTCTGGTGAGAATGCAGACTCCTGATTGACCCAGATCTAAAATGATAATTATTACAATATTTTCTCTGTGTTACTAATTCATGTGTTGGCTGTAACTCTGCAGAGATTTATCCTTTAATTTACCTTGCAATATTTTTACACCTAATATCATAGAGGCATTTAATACCCTTAATTCAAAAGTTGTCTTGTGAAGCCTCATATTTTATGGATTATATTAAAGTATTAAAATGAAAAAACCATAAAATATAACACAAATATTTTAATAGTTTATTTAAGGATATTCTTGCTAGTAACATGAGTTAAAAAGAAAATTCTAAAGGAGAGTAATGACACTAGGTAAGGAACCATATCTATTTTACCTTTTGTGGAGTACAGTTTAGTAGATAACCAATTTTTCAAAATAATATAAATTAAATAGGGATGGGTGAATTAAACATGCATAGTTACTTTCTCTAGAAAATAAGTTAAAAATCAAGTGATTCATAGCATATATTTTAATCTTCCATGGAAATACACAACTCTATATTTAAACATTATTCATAATGGTAGAAACCAGATATTAGGTGATTTGATCTATAAGAAGATATCAGAAACCGGGATAATATAATGTATTTTTTCTTGCCCTCTTGGATTACATTTCTTAGTTTTTTTTTTTTTTTTCTGGATCCTCCTCTTGCTGAATTATTACATTTTAGTATAGTGTAAAGTTCAGTCCTTAGAGCTTTTCTTTGTTCTACATTCACTCACTCCTTAGTAGTCATATATAGCCCTGGTTTGAAATACCATGTATACATAATAAATCTCAAATTTAAACCCCCAGTTAAGACAGATTTAAAGTATAGTACCAAACCATCTTTGAGCCTGAGGCAAAAGGAAAAATTAGTAATGTTGACTTTGTATTAGTTTTCTATTGTTATTGTCACAACTTACCACAAACTTACTGTTTTAAAACAAAACTAAAAACCACCAAAAATTTCGTATCTCACAAGTCTCTAGGTCAGAAATCCAATAGCCTCATCTGGTTTCTCTGTTCCAGGTACAAGGCTAAAATCAAGATGGCAGTTGGGCTTTTTTGCCTGGAGGCTCTAGGGGAGAATCCACTTCCAGGCTCGTTCAGGTTGTTGTTGTAAGAATTTTGTTTCTTGAAGTTGCAGGGCTGAGGACCCTGTTTCCTTGCTTGCTGTCGCCCAGTGTTTGTTCTTACCTTCTAGAGGTCATCCCTTGGCATTCTCTGGCTGATGACTCATCCTGGTTTATTCTCAAAGCCAAAGATAGCCAATTTTATCTTTCAGTCTCTCAGATCTCTCCTGCATTTTCTTCCACCACACGTTCTGACTATTTTGCCTTCCTCTGCTGCTTTTAAAGTTCATAATAGTGCAAAGGGACCACTGAACAATCCTGGATGATTTCCCTATTTTAAGAGCAACTGATTAACAAATATTATTTTAAAGTACCTTTTCATACGTGAGGTAATATATTTACAGATGAAAAACAAGAGAGTAAAGATAATGGGGGCCAACGTCCTGCTACCAAACAAATTATAAATGAAATTTTTTTTTCACCATGGATTTTTTGGCATTAATTTTGATTTTTAAGATATATCACATTGAAATATTTTTAATCTTGATTACTCAGTTTTTTGGTGCTTCCTTAAATTTTGTATCTGAGATGAGTGCTTCACTGACTTCACCATAGTTCTAACCTTGCAATATCACTATCTGCCTACCGAGATCTTCACTGGGAATTCCAATGGACATCCTAAATGTGTCACGTCCAAAACCAAACTCCTGATTTCCCCTTCAAAACCTGTCCTTCCTATGGTGTTTCTTATCTCAGTAAATAACACTTTCATTGACCCAGTTGCTAAAGCCAAAATACTTGGAATTCATCCTTGATTTCTCACTTGAATATATTCCAGGTACACTCAGAATGAAATCCAAATTCCTATCTATGACCCATATAATCTCTATGATTTGAGCTTGGCCATTTAACATTGTCTTCGCTATTCGCCATACACCAGCTTCACCATATTGATCCTCCTCTTATTTTACCAAATTCTAAATAAGAATCTATCTAGAGTTATTCCTTTACTATTTCTTCTGCTGGAAGTTTCTCTTCCCAGATTCCACTTAGCTTACTCCCTAAATTCATTCAAATTTCTACTCAAATGTCACTTTCTCAGACCCATCTCCAGTTCTCACCCCATTCCTTTGCTTTATTTTCTTTATAGAGCTTATTATTATGTGATATTTACCATAATATTTTAAATTTGTTATTTATCTTCCCCTACATTAAAGCTTCAAAAGAATAACAATTTCTTTTGATCATAGATATATTCCGTGCTTGGAACAGAATCTGACACAAAGGCACTCTAGATACTAACAAATGCTTAATTAATTGACCGATGTGTACAATCCACAAAATAAAATGTAGCATAATGTGTTTTTGTGGAACATAAAGATGGATTCACAAAATCTAAAGTCTCTGTGATATTTGTAGAAAATTGTGGGTTCTATAAAATCCTTAGCCAATTTGTATTAAATGGTCAGGGAACACTCGTGCAATGCACATCCTCTCTTCAATCAGAAAATGTCTGCAGGTTTCAGGGATCATGGATTTATGGATATTCATTCTAGTAACCTGTGAACATCAGATCAATGGCATTATAAACAATTTACAAACAGGAAATTGATGGACAGGATACTAATAATTTATCCCACAGCCTTATTTAGCTCTACTCACTGTAGTCTAGTAACACAGGATCCCAAAGTAAACAAGGTCATAAAAGAGCTGCATGGCACTGCATTAGATTATTAATTTCACAGAGTTCTGGTGTGGTACCAATCTGTGGTCCCTGTTGCATTACAATTAATTGAAAGATATACATTGCTTAGGAATAACCACATCCTGAAAGATTACATTCAGGAGATTCATTCTCTCATTAGAGGTTTATTACATTTATATATGCATTATTGAGTTAGGAACTATGGTGTATATAAAGATATATAATAGATAGATGTCTCTGACCCTTGAAATAAAATAGAGTCTTATGAGATATTACATACATGCACTACAAACTTACCTACATGTACAAGAATTAAAATTACAGAAAGTAATTAAATCAATACTCTATGAGTACCTATCATGTTAAAAATAATTTTCCTGAAGCAATGAACGTATTTTAAGTATACATTATCCTTATATTGACTAAACCATTAGTTTCAATAAAAATATCTCAGGATAAAGTTCCAAAAGGATTATTTAACAAATAAGAATGCTAGAGGGTGACAGATCGATGTATACAGTTGAGGAAACCTCTTATTCAGTAATAAATATTTGAACAGGGAGCCCTTTAACAGAGTTAAAAAGAGGTACAGTGAAAATTCCCGATTGAGAAAATACTATATGCAAAGGCATAGAGGCACTGTAATTATTGTTAATAATATTAGCCAGGATGTATATAGTGCTTTTCATTTTACAGATTGAAGGCAATTCTTGATTTAAAAATAGGAAGAATTTCTACACATTGACCAAACATTTTTTCCTCTGTGTGCAGAAAACAGAAATGTTAATAGCCTTTTTGACTCCTATAGACACTCTGATCCTAAATTCTCACTGATTTCTGGAAATTCCAGTGTTGAAAATCAATTTCTTGTTCAGGAGTGCTCTATAAAATTGAAACTCTCTGGAAGGTTTAGTGCCTTTAACTAATAATGGATTACTGGACAACCTGCTGAGAGAAAAACTAGGTTTATTAAAAGAGGGAAGGATGCTGAGCACAATATAGGACACATAGCTTTCTGCTTGTCTTTTCTCATGTGTTATGTTAAAGTGACTCTGCCAAGTGCAGTTCAAAATATAAGAACCGTAGTAATTTAAAGGAGAATAACACTGTGTTACGAATCACATTGAGGATGGGGTGAGGAGATTGGTAGGATTGGAATCTCAATTAGTTGATCTCTGATTTAAATGATTTCAGGGTCAATGGTATGAACATTCTGCCAAAATATTTTGTTTCCTCATTTATATATTTTAAGCTCCATCAATAGACATTTCTCATTTCACCCCTTTGATTTAAGGCTTTGTTTTGGGTGAAAATGAAGTTTCTTCTTAGGGGGGTTATAGTTAAAATTTTATGACTTTTTGCACCCTTGTGTTCCATGGGTATTTAAGAGCATTTTCTGAGAGACCATTTTTATAGTGGATAAAAATGGAATGCATGTATGTAAGTGTGGAGAAGATGGACATTGCCATAGTGGCGATGAACCAGAAAAAGAGAAAACAAGAAAGCCCAAGACAAAATATTCTTATATTAAAATTTTGCTAAAAGCTTCACTTGAGCTATTTACCTTCTTTGTATGATGTATGTCACCTTTATTTGTAAACATGGTATACCGTGAGTCACTTTGACTATTCCATCCAGTTAGGTTCAATAACCAAGAATCATGTAACTCATGTGAAGAAGCTATCTATTTAGGTCCTAGACTATATGTGAGTATAACATGCTGACAAATAGAGGACAAAGCGAAAAACTGCAAATAACCCGAATGAAAGAAAATATAGTGTCTAAACACAACATTTTCTGTTCTCCTTCCTACCAAATGAAACAAAAAATACATATATACTAGTTCTCAATGGGGATTATTGAGTATCCATTGTACTATGTGCACTGTTCTAGGCAGTTGGCATATATCAATGAATAAATATCAGTGAGTAAAAGGGATGAAGTTCTTGATCTTTGTGTGGCATAATTTCTAACAGAGAGAATACAATGAAACATAAGCAAATAAGAGAACATTGTCTAGAATATTAAATGTGATAAATACTATGGAAAAGAGAAAAAGTGGAGCAGAATAGAAGGGCTTGGAGTATGGGTTGAAGGGGCGATATGTAGGTTACACGGAAAGTGTGACTACTAATGAATTAATCTGTTAACATTTTTCTGTCTTAATTTTTATACATTTATAGATGTTTAAATTTAGTTAGAAACTGAGATTTTTCAGAAAAATGTAGGAAGTAGGCTAAGAAAGCTATGTCCATCTAGTTTAATTAACAGCAATCAGTACCCGTTAGCCAATTATTTACCTAGAAACACTCTCCTCTGCTGTAATATATAATTAGAGGCAGTGTATACTGTATGGGGTTTTAGCAGAATGGCACTCTCGGGCAGATCTAAAAGTAGACTCTTAAATATGAAGAGGAAGATAATGGGATTATAAGGATGAGTTTAGAGTTGCCTGTTCAGCTTCTTGACAGCCAATCACAGAGTCTAGGGAAGAGTATATCTGTATCCAGTTTAAAGTGAGGGGTCATTTTGAGTCTAAAGTTGTTTACAATGAGGGAAGCAGAATAAAATTGAGATCTCCGTTAAGTCCTCTTATTGTAGAGAGCTACAAAGGACTCAGTCTTGACTTATAATGGCATGAACAGACACTAAACAGAACACTATTATGTTCTGAACAGAAAAACTGTTTTAGTCCTAAGGTGATTGGCAGGATTTGGAGAGCTGATTAAATTGCAGGCCAAAGCAAATTCTATGTTTCAAAATATCATTTATCCTTTGAAAGAGACAGGCTGAGAGATTTTAATGTGGCAGAAGAATGAGGACAGCTTTAATTTACTCAGCACTAAAATGATAAAGAATAAAAAGACCATATTTAGTCCCCAACTTGGATTTTCACCACTGAAAATGACTGTGAAGGATATAACTCTTCTTAATCCATTTCCTATTATCAGAAGGACTGCAAGGAGAATCTGATGAAAATGAATTACATACCCTGCAGAAATCTGTGTATGGAAAGTAATAAAGACCAACAAATGTTTTATAAATGAAAAAGAAATGAATGAATGAGAATAGCTTTACTTAAATTTCAGACATTATACTTTGGTTTGATTTTTAATATAATTATATAAATGGTAAAAAATGAGAATAAAGTTTCTAAAATTTGAGAACTAAGAGAAAATTTTTAAAAATTTTAAAAAGAATATGAGAAAGATAATTTAAATATACCATTTTGTGTCAATTTGATGCAAAATGACCTGTAAAAAAAATCCTAAGATTTTGAGTGGTACTATGTCTTCACTCAGAAACTCATCATGATCAAAAGGTTAAATTATATTATGACTTTCACAACTGAGGTTTAAAATAATGGCTGATCTGAGACTGTAACCAACTCTGACTTTTAAAATTCTGTCCTTTTTATACTATACTGTCCCCATTGAAGGCAAAAGAAATGTAAATCAGGGTGCAAAAGACTTTAAAAGTCAATTCAGGCCAGGCACGGTGGCTCATGCCTGTAATCCCAGCACTTTGGGAGGCCCAGGCTGGTGGATCCTTTGAGACCAGCCTGGACTGCATGGCAAAACCCCGTCTTTACTAAAACTACAAAAATTAGCTGGGCTTGGTGGTATACGCCTGTAGTCCCAGCTGCTTAGGAGGGTGAGGCGGGATGATCCCTTGAACCCTGGAGGCAGAGGTTGCAGTGAGCCGATATCATGCCTCTGCTCTCCAGCCTGGGTGACAGAGTGAGAGTGTCTCAAAAAAAAAAAAGAAAAAAAGTCAATTCATTAATCATTTATTTTATTGCAGGAATATATTTTTATTGAAGAAAGTATGTCAAAAATATGAAATCAGGAATCACAAGGAAGAAAATCATTCACAATTTTATCACTTTAGAAAAATGAGTATTTTATTCTTGATCATTCTATATATATGTATAGTAATACATATGTAAATAATGTATTAATAAGTGAACATGATAAGCAGAATGACTATTACATGATTATACATAAAAGATAGCATACATGTACATATGCATGTTATACATGAAAGGTACTATACATCTACCTATACATGAATATGTGTATTTTATATGTATGTGTAATAGACATTCTGCTTATCATTTTCACATAAATTAATATCTTAAGCATTTCCAATTTGTTGGCTAAGCTTCAAACTATCATTGCTAATGGCTGCAAAATATTATATGAAATTGGTGAATCATCGTTTGTATAGTTACTCTCCTTTGGGGAAATTTCAGCTTCCCCAAAATTGTTTATTCAGATCAGGGTGCACATTTGTCTATAATTGGATTTTCCTGCTCAATTTTTGTTTCTGATAATAATTCATTATGCGGTTTGAATATAATGCTTTCTATTGCATATGTTTCAGTGAAGTGACTTTTCCCTCAAAATCTTAGAAAGGGAATGTAGGAGATGATCATAGTGCTCTACCAGATTTCTTTCAGATTACCATAAAAAAAAAAATCCTGTGTACCTTACAGGCTGGAATTTAGTCCCCAGCAGCCTGCATCTTGGTCCTTTCTCAATATGTACACCTTAACCCATACTGTATACTGTTGTGGATTTGTGCTGAGCCTTGGAATGTCAGGCAGTGGCCCCTAAGGAACAGATTTGGTATGTCCCTATTCTAGATTGTTCTTTTTTCTTTTTTAATTTTATTATTATTATACTTCAAGTTTTAGGGTACATGTGCACAACGTGCAGGTTTGTTACATATGTATACATGTGCCATGTTGGTGTGCTGCACCCATTAACTCGTCATTTAGCATTAGGTATATCTCCCAATGCTATCCCTCCCCCTTCCCCCCACTCCACAACAGTCCCCGGTGTGTGATGTTCCGCTTCCTGTGTTCTTATAATCTATCCACCCAGGTGAAGTGAGTTACAGGAGTTTGAAAACAAGATTTTGACAAGGAATTGATGCAATAAAAGGGTGATAATACCCTGCAAAAAAAATCCCGATATGTTTGTTGTTGTTGATACTGTTTTTTGTTTGTTTGTTTTTAACAGAGAAAGACATTTAAACTTTTCTCCTCACTTATACCTTTGACATGCCCTTAATCAACCATGTAGAAACACTACCAAATCTCACTGGGTGCTTGATTGGAAAAACACGTACATCCTAACCAAAGAAAAGAAAGACTTAATTAGGGTTAATTGACCTTTTTATATACATTGTGGAGGATAAGTGAAACACACTAAAGGCTTATTTATTGACACCATATGGCACTTACTCACAGGATGCCCAAATTATGTAGAACAAGGATAATCAAACTAAATAGCTCGTCAAAAGGTCTTCCACTCAAAGATGCTGCTATTTCTACTTTGGAAGCTTTTAGATACCTCACTGGACCCCAAAATTCTTTATACATTCTTTTACTCAAATCTTTCCAAGAATCTAGTAAAGCAACCTGCAAAAATTATTCTTCATCTTCAAAATGTAAATGTCATTTTAATGCTTATCATTTATTTATTAATTTATTAAATATATGTTTTCAATAACAGTTGCATGACCACTGCCAGATTTTGTGCTAATGATTGGTAAGGTAAATGCCATCACCCCTGCTTTCAAATAATTGGCACATCTTGCATTAGAGACCTAATTTACAAGCAGTAAAATGTGCCTATGAAGGAAATATGCAGGAAACAAATGTTTGGAAAAGATGATGGGTAGCTGACAGAATTGCTAAAAGCCTAGGAGCTTGAAAGAAGCAGGCTCTTAGAATGGAAAGAAAGGCTGTCAGGTCCAATCTATGGTCAAAAAATTATAGCACAGGTACTAGTGCAGTGAGAATATCTCTGCTGGTATACTTTTGCAACTGCTCCATTAGTGACTGTCTCTTTAGATGCAACAATCAAACAATTACAACGGCAACAATGAAACCTCTCAGTGCCTACTTTCTGCATACTTTGGTCCCTGACTCCAGGTGCAATATTCTGGGCAAGGAGCCAGGCCACATGTGCATTGAGCCAGCAGAAGTAGCTTTGCCAGTGGGAGGCAAAGTCAAGTTTATAAAACAGATAATTTCCCAAATATTAGTAGACAGTTAACCCAGCATGGAGGATCAAACAAACAATATCTACTATGTACATTCAACATATTGAAACCAAGTTCTAGCTGATGCAGAAAAATATATCAAAATGCCCTCTGATTAGTGAAAATTACAAGCACAAAAAATGCCTCAGTGTAGATTTAAGAATATAAATAATGTATATAGATACATAAATATTAACTTTTTTTATTATTATACTTTAAGTTATGGGATACACGTGCAGAACGTGCAGGTTTGTTACACAGGTATACACGTGCCATGGTGGTTTGCTGCATCCATCAACCTGTCACCTACATTAGGTATTTCTCCTAATGCTATTCCTCCCCTCGCCACCCACCCCCTGGCAGGCACTGGTGTGTGATGTTCCCCTCCCTGTGTCTATGTGTTCTCATTGTTCAACTCTCACTTATGAGTAAGAACATGAGATGTTTGGTTTTCTGTTCCTGTGTGTTAGTTTGCTGAGAATGATGGTTTCCAGCTTCATCCATGTCCCTGCAAAGAACATGAACTCATCTTTGTTTATGGCTGCATAGTATTCCATGGTGTATATGTGGCACATTTTCTTTATTCAGTCTATCATTGATGGGCATTTGTGTTGGTTCCAAGTCATTGCTACTGTGAACAGTGCTCCAATAAACATACATGTGCATGTATCTTTATAACAGAATGATTTATAATCCTTTGGGTATATACCCAGTAATGGGATTGCTGGGTCAAGTGGTATTTCTGGTACTAGATCCTGAAGAAATCGCCAGACTGTCTTCCACAATGGTTGAACTAATTTACATTCCCACCAACAGTGTAAAAGCATTCCTATTTCTCCACATCCTCTCCAGCATCTGTTGTTTCCTGACTTTTTAATGATTGCCATTCTAACTGGCATGAGATGGTATCTCATTGTGGTTTTGATTTGCATTTCTCCAATGACCAGTGATGATGAGCCTTTTTTTCATGTTTGTTGGCCACATAAATGTCTTCTTTTGAGAAGTGTCTGTTCATGTCCTTTGCCCACTTTTTGATGGGATTGTTTTTTTCTTGTAAATTTGTTTAAGTTCCTTGTAGATTCTGGATATTAGCCCTTTGTCAGATGGATAGATTGCAAATATTTTCTCCCATTCTGCAGGTTTCCTGTTCACTCTGATGATAGTTTCTTTTGCTGTGCAGAAGTTCTTTAGTTTAATTAGATCCCATTAGTCAATGTCAGCTTTTGTTGCCATTGCTTTTGGAGTTTTAGTCATGAAATCTTTGCCCATGCCTATGTCCTGAATGGTATTGCCTAGGTTTTCTTCTAGGGTTTTTATGGTTTTAGATGCAAGGCTGGTTCAACATATGCAAATTAATAAATGTAATCCATCACATAAACAGATCCAATGACAGAAACCACATGATTATCTCAATAGATGCAGAAAAGACCTTCAATAAAATTCAACACTCCCCAGGTTAAAAACTCTCAATAAACTAGGTATTGATGGAATGTATCTCAAAATAATAAGAGCTATTTATGACAAACCCACAGCCAATATCATACTGAATGGGCAAAAGCTGGAAGCATTCCCTTTGAAAACCAGCACAAGACAAGGATGCCCTCTCTCATCACTCCTATTCAACATAGTATTGGAAGTTCTGGCCAGGGCAAACAGGCAAGACAAAGAAATAAAAGGCATTCATATAGGAAGACAGGAAGTCAAATTGTCTCTGTTTGCAGATGACATGATTGTATAGTTAGAAAACCCCATGATCTCAGCCCAAAATCTCCTCAAGCGGATAAACAACTTCAGCAAGGTCTCAGGATACAAAATCAATGTGCAAAAATTACAAGCATTCCTATACACCAATAATAGACAAACAGAGAGGCAAATCATGAGTGTTTTTATATGTTATTATATTGTTATTTTTATGTTATAGAAAGACATATGAATAATGTCTCATATGTCTTACTTTAGTTGTACAAAGTCAGATTATTTTATGGTTTTTCTCTATAAAATGAAATAGTACATATTGTTCACATTCTAGTAATTCTTTTTTAGATGAGCCTCATCCTGTAGCCCACGTTGGAGTGCAATGGCGTGATCCCAGCTCAGGCTGGAGAGCAATGGCATGATCTCAGCTGACTGAAACCTCTGCTTCCTGTGTTCAAGTGATTCTCCTGCCTCAGCCTCCCAAGCAGCTGGGATTACAGGTGCACACCACCATACCCGGCTAATTTTTTGTATCTTTAGTAGAGACAGGGTTTCACCACGTTGGCCTGGCTGGTCTTGAATTCCTGACCTTGTGACCCACCTGCATCGGCCTCCCAAAGTGCTGGAATTACAGGTGTGAGCCATTGCACCCGGCCCCATTCTAGTAATTTTTTTTCTCTCTCTTTTCTTTTTCTTTTGAAACAGGGTCTTTCTCTGTCACTGAGGCTGAAGTTAAATGGCATGATCATACTTCACTGCAGCCTTGAATTCTGGAGAAGCTGAGACAATAGAAGCATGCCATTACACCCACACAATTTAAAAAAAATTTTTTTTAGGAGACGTGGTGGAGGAGAAGTCTCACTATGTTGCCCAGGCTGGTCTTAAACTCCTGGTTGGCCTAAAGCAATCCTCCCATCTCAGCCTCCCAAAGTGCTGGGATTACAGGCATGAACCACCACACCTGGCCATTTTTTTTCTTAATATCAGCAATTATCTATAGAATATTGAACCTACTTAATATTATAAAATGTTATATTATCAATATTATTATATAACATTTGATATTTATAATATATAATAAATATGTATTATTGTATATTTAGTGTATGCCATATTATATTTTCTCTAAAATATTTTATATCTCAAACTTATATAAAATAACCTGATCATAATTCTTCCACTCCTGAATTCCATAAGTAGAAATTTAACACCTCAAAATGGCATTCAAACCTTTCATAATATGTTCTCAACCTATCTTTCTGGTATCACAGTCTGTCAGTCTCACCCATAAATGTATGTTCTAAGTTAACCTCTTTTCTTGCTATTTTCTAGGCATGGCATACATCTTTATAATTCTGTATATTTGCTTGTAGTTTTTCCTTGACCTAGAGATTCTTTCCCCAACTTGACCTTCGAAAAGAATATAACTGATAAGTAAAGACACAGCAGGAATGCCTCTTTCCCTCTGAGCCTGTCACCTACTTTTCTGAAAAAGAAAATAGATAGTGTCTGTTTTTTACAGTAGCAATATATTTTACAATAGTTTCACAGATGAGTTTCCCTGCAAGAGTGTGAGGTCTTTAGAATCTGGAATTGTATCTTACACTCCTGTGTGTGTGTGAATGTGTGTGTGTGCCTAGAATGATACAAATATCTGTTAAATATTATTAAAGAGTGGTACATGCTTAGACTATATTGCTGTTTCTTTGTATCTCAGTAACATTCTAAGGTGGTATATTTTTTCTAATTACTGTATGAAATAGATAATTTTCACAACTATGACATATCATTGTAGTTAAGACACCATATATGCAGAAATGTTCAATGTCACTAATTCAAAGTGAAAAAATTGACAAAACCAACTTAAATACAATATTACTCATTATTTACTCTATGCTTGTTCATACATATATTACACATACTCATGAAGGGTTAGAATCATACAGGATGTTAAGGGAATTTATGTTATAGTAAAAGAATAAATTTCAGAAGGATTATCTTTTTAAAATATGCCTGGGATTTTTGGGGACCAAAGGTGAATTTTGTTCTTTCTTCTTCCCCAACCCTGATCCCCATCCTAGTAATCCTCTGGGTTGAGTTGTTTTTATTTTTTCCTGTTATCTTTCAATGTGCTGGCACACATCATTAAGCTGTCAGACCACTTGTTAATATATTCCAGGAGGTAATGGCATTTGTTGGTTTCTAGTATACAGCCAAAGATAGTTGTATGCACTTTCAGTTGTAATGATAACAACTGCCATTTATTAACCAGAAAGTGAGAGCCAGACACTTTGATAAGTACATTACATGGATTCACTGTTTAAATCCTTGAAACAATCTTTAAAAAATGGTATTCCTGCGGTATTCTTTTAACCCATGAGGACATTGATGCTTGGAGTAGTTATATTACAGATATCACAAGGGCTCAAACCAAGTTTCTTCTGGGTTTGTCTCCAAAGCCTTGCTCTTATCATGATACCAACCCATGGAAAACCTGTTATTTAAAAAGAAGCCATTGCAAGCTTATTGAATTTCTGATCTCTGCCTAAGTCTTCTATATTCGCTACAATATGGGGTGTGCTCATGAAGGCTGTGCTTCTGCACACATAAATTAAATATTGGATAATTTACACATCTGCCTAGACTGACTCTTCTTATAGACAGCTTCTGTTGTCATACACATCAGTTAATCACCCATTTGTTAGTACTATAGAAGGCCAAACGACAATCTCTAAGGCTGTTATTCTAGGTAGGAAGTAAGGATAAGAAGGTAGCAAACAGAATGTATATATGTATGTGCGTGTGTGTGTATGTGTGTGTGTATATATACACACACACATACACACACACGCACATACATATATACATGTACATATGCACATATATATGAGTGTATATGTAAAAATAATATATGTACATTGTATATATGCATTACATCTGAATGCATATATAAATTATATATATCCCTAAATTTTTGGAAGAGAATAATTGGTGGATGAAAGCAACTGAAAGCTGACTTTTGATCCTGACATGACAGGGTAGTTGGTTGTAGACTTACTTCCTATAGTGAACAATTATAAATTGGAAAAATATATTAAGAAACTTTTATTACACTGCTGATAGTACAGGACTGAAAGTCTTAAGAGAAATGATATACGTTCCACATTTACTGAAGCTTTTTTCCTGGGAGCTTTTTCTAAACTATGATGCAGAGAAATAAAGTACAAGAAAGAAAACCAATCTCATTAGATGGGAAAAACAGAATAGAATGTGGAATTGCTAAGGCAGCTAGAATTTTAGGGCATCGTACGGGAGCAGATTTCAAGATGCCCTATAAAGTTATGGTCGTATAGCGTTTGGCTAAACGGTGTGATTGTTGGCAAAAAGACACAAAAGTAGCTCAAAGGAATAGACCGGGTAATCCAGAAATGGACTTTTAGCTTTTCCCATTTGTTGTCATACAGTTACTCACATTAGCCACTAATGCTCATTTAAATTTCTGTGATATCATTTGTAATATCTCCTTTTTCATTCCTGATTTTATTTATTTTGATTGTCTTTCTTTTCTTCTTAATTGCTCCGGCTAAAGTTTTGTCAATTTTGTTTAA